>NC_000002.12:27673621-27826371 GCF_000001405.40 Homo sapiens
CCCAGCTACTTTTTTTAGATTTATTTTTAGTAAAGGCAAGGTCTTGCTATGTTGCCCAGGCGTGGGTACATCTCTTTACTATGGTTTATTGGGATTTAGGGAAAGAGGGAAATTAGATATGTGTGTTTAATGTACCATCTTAACCTGCAAATTAGGCTTATATTAATAAGGACTATTTTCCTTGCAAATAATAGAAGTCCAATTCAAACTAGCTTAGGGGAAAGGTCATTGGCTGCAGAAGCTGGGAAGAATAGCTCAGGATGAAGGAACAGGAGTGAAGGAACAACTGCATGAACCAGAACCTCAAGTTCTGAAACCATAACTTAGTACTACCAAAGTAGACTCAGCATCACCAGGACATATACAAGTTGTGTGTGTGTGTGTGTGTGTGTGTGTGTGTGTGTGTGTGTCTGTGAGTGAGTCTGTCTCACGAGTGCATTTTTAAACTTTGCAGACAGATTCTTACCCTGTGCTGAAAAGCTGATTGCTTACAGCCCTGAACTTAACAGTCTCTCACTTTAATAACCTCATTGTAAAGAGAGCCTCTTTGCCCCATCTCTAAATATAAATATGAGGGAAAGAGTCTTACTGATTTGGCTTTGGTCCTATGACTATCCCTAAACCAGATAAAATGGGGGAGGAATTTTCTAGGGGAAAGAGGTACTTTTATCAGAACAAAGGGAGTAGAATGTTGTAGGGTGAACAAAAAAGTAATAGCTGTCATAGTTTCTTATTGATGGACTCTTTACATATTCACTGTTATAAATACTATTGCATTGATATTTATAGAATAAATTCCTAGAAGTGGAATTGCTGGATCAATGCATTTTTAATGGCAGATATTGTAGGCTTGACCATCAAAAAGGTTGTATCAATGTACATTCCCACCAATTATTAATCTTTTTATGTTTTTCTAGTCTAATAGATGAGAAGTATCTAATTTTTAAATTTGTACTTTATTTTTTTTTAAAGTAACATATTTAAAAATATTTATTGTATTTTTCTGTGAACTGCTTTCATTATCCTTTTTCAAATTTTCTTTTGGGTTATTGTCCTTTTTCTCATTTTTCATTTTCCTTTTTTCCTCATTGATTTTTTTTTTTTTTTGAGATAGAGTTTCACTCTTGTCACCCAGGCTGGAGTGCAGTGGCGCTTTCTCGGCTCACTGCAACCTCTATCTCCCAGGTTCAAGCAATTCTCCTGCCTTAGCCTCCTGAGTAGCTGGGATTACAGGCACCCGCCACTATGCCCATCTAATTTTTGTATTTTTAGTAGAGACGGGGTTTCACCATGTTGGTGAGGCTGGTCTTGACCTCAGGCGATCCATCCCCCTTCAGCCTCCCAAAGTGCTGGGATTACCATGCCTGGCCATCCTCATTGATTTTTAAAAGCCGTTTGCTCATTAAATAAATTAACTATTTGCTTTAATGAAAAATTATTTAATAAGAAATTGTGGGAAAATATACATAACAGAAAAGTGTACCATTTTAAGCATTTTAAGAGTATCACTCAGTGGCATTAAGTACATTCACAATATTATGGAACCATCAACACTGTTCATTTTGGAACTTTTTTATCATTCCATACTGAAATTGGTATCTGTTAAACACTAACTTCATTCTCCCTCCTTCCCAGCCTCTGGCAACCACCATTCTACTTTTCTGTCTCTATGAATTTGACTACTTTAGGTATCTCACATGATGCAGTAAGTGTCCTTTTATATATGGCTTATTTCACTTAGTATAATGTCTTCAAGGTTTAGCCCTTTGTTTTTATACGTAGTTTGGCAGCTTGTAGAACCTCTCTTTCAGTAGTTGATGGTGACATTTTAAGCTCCTTGCCTACTTGCCTTCTTTCTTTTTCTTTTCTTTTTTAAAAACTTATTTATTCATCATTTTATCTACCTCTAGTATCTCGGAAAAGGAAAGCCAAGAACTGGGAAGATGAAGACTTTTATGATAGTGATGATGACACATTTCTTGATAGGACTGGCCTGATTGAGAAGAAGCGTCTGAACAGAATGAAGAAGGCTGGCAAGATTGATGAGAAGCCAGAGACCTTTGAATCATTGGCAAGTTTTATTTATGGAAGTAGCTGTGGTATTTAATAGTTTAATTTTTAATAACATAATGTATTATTTAAATATGTTTTATGATAATTTTTAAAGTAGTAGCATTGAAATCTGATACTGAAGTATAACTTTTGTGGTCTGTTAATTTAATGGTAACAGACAACTAGTCTTATCCAAGTTGTTTGAAAAAAATATGGCTTGCTGCTAGATCCTTTCCTTCAGGATATTGATCCATTAATTAACATTCTTTGGATATGATATTACCTCTCTCAAAAGGAAAGGAAAAAGTTCCAAGTTAGGGCGTTCTGAGGTGAAATTGACTTTAGCCTTCTGGCAGTCAAGAGAAGTCAAAGGAATTTTGAAGAATGTAGTATGGTAATATGTAGTCTGAAACAGTATGTTCTTCAGGAAATTATCACAAGGTGACGTGTTAATGGGTAGGTAACAGACAATAATAGGCAGGTAATAGGCTACCTATTAGACTAGAAAAAAACATAAGATTAATAATGCAGAGCTTGACCAGAATATGGAGAAGTAGACTCTCAATTGGTGGGAATGTACAATACAACCTTTTAAGTGATCAATCCTACGACATCTGTCAGTATTAAAAATGCATTGATTCAGCAATTGCACTTCAAGGAATTTGTTACAGGTATTAATTTATAGTAGGATTCAGAGCTTAAAACATTACCCAACATCTATCCTTTTGATTTATGTGAAAACAAATGCCTTGAGCTCTTTCTTCTGAGTAAAATGAAGTCCGAGTTATTCATTCTGTTTAATTCTGTGTTTTTTAATTCAGAAATAAATTAAATTTGGATTTAACACATAAAAAGTGTTAACTCCTGGCTGGGCATGGTGGCTCATGCCTGTAATCCCAGCACATTGGGAGGCTGAGGCCGGTGGATCACCTGAGGTCAGGAGTTCGAGACCCACCTGACCAATGTGGTGAAACCCCACCTCTACTAAAAAAAAAAAAATACAAAAATTAGACAGGCGTGGTGGTGTGTGCCTGTAGTCCTAGCTACTCTGGAGGCTGAGACAGGAGAATTGCTTGAATGCAGGAAGCAGAGGTTGCAGTGAGTCGAGATCACGCCATTGCACTGCAGCCTGGGTGACAGTGCGAGACTCCATCTCAAAAAAAAAAAAAAAAAACTATTAACTCTGGCCAGGTGTGGTGGCTCACACCTGTAATCCTAGCACTTTGAGAGGCTGAGGCAGGCTGATCATGAGGTCAGGAGATTGAGACCATCCTGGCCAACATGGTGAAACCCTGTCTCTACTAAAAATACAAAAAGTAGCTGGGTGTGGTGGTGCACACCTGTAGTCCCAGCTACTTGGGAGGCTGAGGCAGGAGAATCGCTTGAACCCGGGAGTCGGAGGTGGCAGAGAGCCGAGATTGCACCACTGCACTCTACCCTGGCAACAGAATGAGGCTCTATCTCAAAACAAAAAAAAAAGTGTTAACTCCATAAGTAGCAGTTTAACTGGACTTTTGAATTAATCTTCTTAAAACTTCTAGTAAGAATAATTAAAACAGGAGGATGAAAAACAGTTTGAAAGAAGAAAAACTTTGTAACCCTGTTGATTTGGGTGTTACAGGTTGCAAAATTAAATGATGCTGAAAGGGAACTTTCTGAAATTTCTGAGAGATTGAAAGCCTCAAGCCAAGGTAAGTTTTTCATCAAATATTTATTAATATACCACATATAGTGCTCTATGCTAGGCACTGGGGCTACATTAGTTAATAAGAAATACCATACAGAATATGGAGCCTTTTAAAGGAGCAACATACCGTTTTAGAACTAGAAAGAACATTATAAATCATTTGGTTTAACCTCTTTATTTAATTGTTGAGGGGAATGAAGCACATTGAGACAAAATGACTTCCCAAGGTCTCATGGCTATAACCTGTTCCTTATTCCTATTACTAGTGATGTCCTCTGTCCGGTTTTATGTTAGTGACTTTTATATGGAAACTTTGGCTGAATTTTAAAATATTCAGGATCATCTTTCTAAACATGTGTTATTCTTTTCTTGGACAGTTCTATCAGAGTCTCCATCTCAGGATTCTTTAGATGCGTTCATGTCAGAAATGAAATCAGGCAGTACATTAGATGGTGTGTCCCGGAAGAAACTTCACCTGAGAACTTTTGAACTGAGGAAAGAACAACAGAGACTTAAAGGGTTAATAAAAATTGTAAAGCCAGCAGAGATTCCAGAACTAAAAAAGTAAGTCTTAGTTATATTTGGAATTCTAAATAAGTATGGTAGCATAGATAACATTTTCAATTATCGCTTTATCTTCTTAAATAATCATTATATAATACAAATGTAATGCAAGGAACCCTTTAAAGCACAGAAAGCAGTGGTTTCATAGAGTAACTAAAAACCTGTTTCATATTTGTGAAATATAGACTGATAGAGGATTTTCTGAGAAAACTATATTGATTTCTGATTCATTGGAAGGTTCCGAAGTTTTTTTTACTTAATCTTTTAGTGTAGAATAAACTCCTTTAAAAAGCATCATGCACAAAAAGCTAATTTATCTAATATAAAAAGACCTCTGAGGCTGGGCGTAGTGGCTCATACCTGTAATCCTAGAACTTTGGGAGGTTGAAGCAGGCAGATCACTTTCAAGACCAGCCTGGGTGATATGGCACAACCCTATCTCTACAAAAAATAAAAACATCAGCCAGCCATGTTGGAGCACACCTGTGGTCCCAGCTACTTGGGAAGCCGAGGTAGGAGGATCGCTTGAGCCCAGGAGTTCCAGGCTACAGTGAGCTGTGATCGTGCCATTGCACTCCAGCATGGGTGACAGAGGAAGTTCCTGTCTCAAAAAAAAAATTAAATTATTAATAAAAAGACCTCTGAATGATAAGTAGACAGCCAACCACCCAGGAGAAAAATGAGTAAAGGATGTCTACTCACAGGCCACAGGAAAAGAAATACAAATAGCATCTTTTATACAAAGATGCTCAACTTCATGATCATAAGAGAAATACAAATACTACAACCTAATACCTTTTTTTTTTTTTTTTGAGATAGGGTCTCACTGTGTCACCCAGGCTGGAGTGCAGTGGCACAGTGACAGCTCACTGCAGCCTTGACCTCCTGGGATCAAGTGATCCTCCTGCCTCAGCCTCCCAAGTAGCTGGGACCACACGCATGCTCCACCATACCTGGCTAATTTTTAATTTTTTGTAGAGATGGGGTCTTGCCATGTTGCCCAAGCTGGTCTTGAACTCCTGGCCTCAAGGTATCTGCCCACCTCAGCCTCCCAAAGTGCTGGGATTACAGGTGTGAGCCACCACACCTGGTCTTAATAGCATTTTTATATATGAATTTGATGAAGATTAATTATGATTTTATACTGTGCTGATGAGGCTGACAAAAAGGCACTTTCTTATATTGTCATTGAAGGACAAATTAGTACATTCTCTACAAGACAAATTGGCAGTCTCTATCCTGATTACAAATGCACATGCCCTTTGATCTATTTCATTTCTAGGAATTTGTCCCTCACATACTTAGGAAATGATGTACAGCATTGTTTGTATTAATAGTAGTAAAAAATTAGAAATCCCCTAAATGTTTATCAAAGGGGATGGATTAAATAAATTGCGGCCAGGTGCTGCGGCTTACGCCTGTAATCCCAGCACTTTGGGAGGCTGAGCTGGGCGGATCACGAGGTCAGGAGATCGAGACCATCCTGGCTAACATGGTGAAACCCTGTCTCTACTAAAAATACAAAAAATTAGCCGGTTGTGGTGGTGGGTGCCTGTAGTCCCAGCTACTTGGGAGCCTGAGGCAGGAGAATGGCGTGAACCAGGAAGGTGGAGCTGGCAGTGAGCCGAGATTGCGCCACTGCACTCTAGCCTGGGCGACAGAGCGAGACTCCATCTCAAAAAAATAAATAAATTATGGTGTAGATATACAATAGAACACCATATAGCTGTTGAAAAAAAAGGCAACTATATATAAGATACAGAAACACTATCAAGATAAGTAACAAAAGCAAGGTGCAGAACGGTGTGTATAACAGGCGCTGTCTGTAAAAAATGATGGTGGGGGAAGAATACATAGATAAGTAGGCCATGGTTATGTTTATAATATCTGTTTAGGTCGGGTTCCCTAAAAACAGACTGAATCGGAGATTCATCTGCAAGTGATTTATTAAGAGAGTGCTCTCAGGAGAAATCTATATGGGAGTGAGGGAAGCAGGAGAGGGCAGGAGAAGAAGCTGGGCTAAGATATGGTTTCAGGAGAGCCTGAATGGCACCACAGATGCCATGGAGGCATGGGGCTTGGGTTTCGATACCCTGTCCCCCCAACCCTTCATTGGTCATAGGCTGCCGGTGACTGGGGGGTGGGAGGGGCTCACAGCAATTCTGGGAAGGGTGCAGGTGTGAGCCTTTAGCAGCCGATGTCTGCAGTAGCTGTTTGGCCTGATAAAGGGAATCTGGGAGGGACAGCATCTGCTACTGTATCTCTGGAAAGATTCGTTAAAAATTAATAATATTGATTGCCAATGGGGAAGGCAACTGGGTGGCTGGGGGACAGCAATGGGAGGGAGACTTTTCACAGTATATGTGCTTTATACTTGAGTTTTGAACATGTGAATATACTTTCTATTCTATTCAGATATACTGAATTTGAAAAGAAAATCCTGTACCAAATAGCCATACCACTTTAGGTCCAAATTTACTGTAATGTAGTTGCAGTTCTAGTTCTAAATAACAAATAACTGGAAAAAGTAAGAATCATATAATAATTTTGTTACAGTAAAACTATTTGTTAATAAAAGTGGCTGGGGACGGTGGCTCACACCTGTAGTCCCAGAACTTTAGGAGAGTGAGTGAGGTGGGAGGATGGCTTGAGTTCAGGAGTTTGAGACCAGCCTGGGCAACATAGTGAGACCCTGTCTCTACAAAAGATAAAAACTTAGCTGGGTATGGTGGTGCTTGTCTGTAATCCCTGCTACTTGGGAGGCTGAGGTATCACTTGAACCTGGGAGAGTGAGGTTGCAAGACCCTGTCTCAAACAAACAAACAAACAAAAACAAAACAAAAACAAATCTCTGCTTTGGAAAACAACAACAACAACAACAACAACAACAACAACATTTGGGGCAAGAAGAATTAAAAAAAAAAAAAAACGAAAACGAAATATGTCTCAGCTTCCTCCAGAGCCTCCTCTCCTGCTATCAGTCTGTGTGCTTGCCTGGTTTTTCCTCCCTTTCCTATTTTGGATACTGGTCTAGATGTGTATCTTCTTCCTCCTCTTTTCACTTATGGGTTGAACTTCCAAACTTTCTGCCTCCTACCCTAACCCCTGCAAGCAATCTTGATTGTGATTCCATCTTCTGCTTTTTCATCTCCTTTGAGCCAGTCTTAGCTTATCCTCTAGGCCAGCCTGGCTTTTTAATGTAGCTGAAAACATCTGTGTTGCTGTTGCTTCTGTCTTTCTATGCCAGAGCCTTCCTGAGGCCTGTGGGGAAGGGTGTGAAGGATAATGATTTGACAAAATGTCCTTCATGGCCAGGCAGGCAGCATTCTTCTGGTGGCCTTAGCAAGGGAATGGGTTTTATCTCTGGTAGGGAGAAAGGGGCTTGAGGCTGGACTTAAGAGTGCTACTAAGGGGATAAGACTTAGGTAAAAGAAGGCAGTAGTAGCAAGTGGGGCTTCAGGGAGGGCCAGGTAGCTAACATCTGGTATGGGTCACTGTGAGTCGAATGCCATTACTGTCCTTATATTCCAGTTTTCAGGGCTGTCCCATGGTCAATATGAAGAAAACAGAGGGCTTTCTTTTCAGTCTAGTATGCTTATTCTGGGGTTTCCTCTGTCTCCTCATGCCATATTCTCATTGTCACCTCTGCCTGCTCTGAGTATCTTGTCAACTGAATTGCTATCCCTTTTGTTTTTGCTCTGTTCTCCCCCTGCCTTTCTAATTTCTACTATCTCTTCTTTATACCCTTCCTCAGCTTTGTCCTAATGGGCTTAGCTTTTCTAACTATCTCCAGCCGTTGAGAATGTTGACAGGCTCAGCAGTTGCAGTCTCTCACTATATCTTTGTCATTACTACACTGGGTATCCTGCATACTGTACCCCCATCCCCATGCACACTTTTTTTTTTAAGTGCTCAGAGCTATTGCGCTTAAGTGGGAGCTCCAGATAAGTAAGACACTCTTCAGAGGTTGGTGGGAAGTAGGGCTTTACACCATGGATCAATCTCCTGCTGCTTATATGTTCTCCTTTGCCAGTGACCTTTGTACTGTAGTCATTTCATGGGTGTGAAGTCATGTAGCATGTGGCAAATTACTTGACTAAGGGAGCAGCCTCATCATAGCTCTGTGTCTGTGACAGTCAGCATTGTTCTTGTCCATTCAAAATCTGTTGGTCTGAATACCTCTTTCTTATTGTTATATGCTTAGATATTCATTTTGTGGTAATTTTTATTTTGCCAGAGGTTTCTTTGTCAGTATCATGGTATTTTTAGATAAAACCTTGGGACTCCCTGGAATAGATGTGTATAATTATTCTTTCTTCCTAGGACTGAAACTCAGACTACAGGTGCAGAAAACAAAGCTAAAAAGCTTACATTGCCTCTATTTGGTGCCATGAAAGGAGGAAGCAAATTCAAATTAAAAACTGGAACAGTAGGGGTAAGTTGTGAGTCAGGGTGTTAAACTTTTAGCCCTTGAGTTATCCCTGAGCTAATTTTTCTCTTTTCTTTTTTGAAACTACAAATGACTCATTCCATAGTAATGTGAGAAAGGGCTGTGGGCTTGGTATGATCACATCTTTCCCAGAACTTGGTTCTTGGATTCTTTTTTTTTTTTTTTTTTGGAGACAGAGTCTCACTCTGTCACCAGGCTGGAGTGCAGTGGCGTGATCTCGGCTGACTGCAACTTCCGCCTCCCGGGTTCAAGCAATTCTCCTGCCTCAGCCTCTCGAGTAGCTGGGACTACAGGCGTGCTCCACCATGCCCAGCTAATTTTTGTATTTTTAGTAGGATGGGACTTCACCATGTTGGCCAGGATGGTCTCCATCTCTTGACCTCGTGATCCACCTGCCTTGGCCTCCCAAAATGCTGGGTTTATAGGCATGAGCCATTGTGCCTGGCCAGTTTGTGGATTCTTTTTCTCAGCTTAGGGTTATCAAGAATTGATGAATTAATTTATGCCAATCAATTTGCAAGTAAATGGTTTGTAAATTAGAATCATAGTTTATTAATTTCTCATGAATGTTGCATTTAAGAATGGGTCTCCTGCATTAAATGCTTTTCCCCAGGTGGATAGATGTAGTGTTCAGACTCACCAACATTTAAGAACATAGTGTGTGCACTTGCCTCTGCCATATGATTTTTCTTCATTTAATCCTTCCAACACCTTTTGCTGTGTGGGAATTATTGCCTCTTACAAATGAGGAAATAGAGTCAGAGAAGTTAAATACCAGATCACACCAGCGTTATGTAACTAAGCTGGTAATCAGATCCAGGTCTGTCTCTTGAGCTTTATGATTTCCCTGCTACCCTACAATATATGTCTGTCTGTATGTTTTTGCTTTATCTATATTCCTATTCATAGATTCAGCTTTTAAAAGGTTTTCATTACCCCTAAGAGCTGAACCTTGAGTATTAGTTTGCTAGGGCCACCATAACAAAATACTAGGGATTGGGCAGCTTAAACAACAGAAATTTATTTGTTCACAGTTGCCAGCAGGGTTGGTTTCCTCTAAGGCCTCTCTGCTTACCAATGGCTGCCCTCTTGCTGGCTCTTCAGATGGCCATCCCTCTGTGCACTTGCACTCCTGGTGTCTCTTCTTCTTCTTCTAAGGACATGAGTCATACTGAGTTAGGGCCCCACCCTAATAGTGTCATTTTAATTCAGTTTAATTTAATTTACAGTCATATTCTGAGGTACTGGGGCTTGGGACTTCAAACATGAATTTGGGCAGCAGGGGGCACAATTCGTCCAAAACACCCTGAATTAGGGTATACTGCCCTCTGGTGGCAGAAATCTGAAGTCCTAGCTATGTATTCTTTTTGTTTGTTTCATTGAGAGACAGTCTCACACTGTCACCCAGGCTGCAGTGCAGTGGCCATCTCGGCTCACTGCAACCTCCTCCTCCCGGGTTCAAGCGATTCTCCTGCCTCAGCTTCCCGAGTAGCTGGGATTACAGGCACCCACCACCACGCCCAACTAATTTTTTGTATTTTTTTTTAGTAGAGACAGTTTTTCACCATGGCCAGACTGGTCTCGAACTCCTGACCTCATGATTCACCTGCCTCGGCCTCACTATGTATTCTGAATGAGTAATGGTTTACCTAACAAGTAGGCTTTTCAATCTGTTGCGGTGGGGACTTAGGTTTTAAATAGAAAACTTTTTACTAAACAGCCCTCCTTAGAGAATTTTAGAACTAAGTCCTATATTTAAAAGATAATATAGGCCGGGCGCGGTGGCTCATACCTGTTATCCCAGCACTTTGGGAGGCCGAGGTGGGTGGATTGCTTGAGCTCACTAGTCGAGACCAGCCTGGGCAACATGGTGAAACCCCGTCTCTACTAAAAATACAAAAATTAGCTGAGCACGGTGGCCTGCGCACCTATAACCCCAGCTACTCAGGAGGCTGAGGCAGGAGAATCGCTTGAACCGGGGAGGCAGAGGTTTCAGTGAGCTGAGATCGCACCACTGCACTCCAGCTTGGGCCACAGAGCAAGACTCTGTCTCAAAAAAAAAAAAAAAAAGATATAACCAAGATATGCTTTGGTTCCTTCCCTCTATTCCATAACTGTGATCAACCTTTTCTAATAAATACTTTTATTGAATGGCTTTGATTAGAATATTTAGCTTTATTCTTTGAGAAATGTCTTCCTCCTTTTCTTCAGGATCTGTTTGATGGATTTACATGCCTTGTTTCCTTGAAATTACGCTAAGTCTAAAATGAAAAAGCAGCACAAATGACTTATTTCTGATTGTCTGATTTATTCCTTAGAAGATTTTGTAATCAATTGAAATCCTTTAATATCATGAGTTATAACAGTCCAGAATTCCTGTAGCTGGCACTCATCTGAAATAACTATTTTAGTTCCTTACAAGCTATTTTCAAGTGTTTTGTATTTAGTAATCTTTGACTCTAGGAACTAATAAAGACACTTGTTTAGGGTCTATAGAGGGGTAAAATTTCATGTCAAAGTCCCACCTCCAGCAGACTTCTGTGGAGTTCATCAACCTAAAAAGAGTAAACATTCAGTACATTTAGACTGACCTCCTTGAAAAGATTTTTCTCTTGTTGTCATTAAGTAGAACTACTTGTTCATGGTTTTGTTTCCCTCTTAGAAGTTACCCCCCAAGCGTCCAGAACTCCCTCCAACTCTAATGAGAATGAAAGATGAGCCTGAAGTAGAAGAGGAGGAGGAAGAGGAAGAGGAAGAAGAGAAAGAAAAGGAGGAGCATGAAAAGAAAAAACTGGAGGATGGAAGCCTCAGTAGGCCACAGCCAGAGATAGAGCCAGAAGCAGCAGTGCAGGAAATGAGGCCTCCCACAGATCTCACACATTTTAAAGAAACCCAAACCCATGGTAATATCTTTCTTCTCCTTCCTGTGTTGTTCAGTGGGCAGTTACATTGATTGTGGATAGGTTTTAAAAAGCAAGGCCAGTTCTTGTCTGTGCATTTGACTTTGTATGTGATATACTGACTCTGTAGCAAGGAAACATACTTTCTTGGTCTTCTTCCTTTGACCGCCAGTCATTATTTGTCTTCATTGCAAATTAAGGGCAGTTATTTCCAATCCATTCCAGAATTACAGAAAATTGAAGGCTATGGAATCTGAAACCATAGCTGCTGTGGAATAATCCTGAGCTGCTGCCACTGTGTGAGTTGGAGGGCAGTGGAACAGGGTACATGATGGGGCCTGATCAGGTGGTCTCCGGATAAGTCAACCCCTATTCATTTTTTCCTCCATCCCTAAAACAGAGGCCAAACCATAATTGTACTCATTGGACTAAAGTTCTCAAGAAGGATCTTGCTTCATTCATTTTTGTGTGTTTGGAACCTAGCACAAAACCTGACACATATCCACCCGCCTCAGCAAATATTTGATGAAAAATGTTGAAAGACGGAATAGATTGATATTCATATAGATATATGCATCAATTAATTCTGTATTTTCTATATATATATTCTAATTACAAAGGGTTATATGTTCATTTTAGAAACTATAGATCATACATAAAAGTCCAAAGGAAAAAAAAGAAATCCCCACAACCCCACCCCTAAAGATCATTGTTTATCTTTTTAGTATCCTTTCATCCCTTGTCAACTGCAGGGGTTATTTTCCTGCTGGTTGGCCAAACTGGTTAGGAAGATAAAGATCTCAGAAAATAAGGAGTATGAGGAGAAACAATAAAAACTGGCACTGAATGTATGGGAATGCATGCATGTCTACTTCCACAACAAACCAGGCTTGGCTACATAAAAACTCCAGGCCTGGTATGTAGCCCTTCTCTTGAATCACCTTCATTTGTCTGGGAAACAGAAAAGTTACTGTTTCCTCATCTGTGAGAGGTAAGTATTCTGTATCTGCATTTGTCCTTTTCAAAAAGGTACTTACATGAGCTTGGTCTTTGGGCCATATATTGTGAAGGTGGATATAAACAGGTCAGCAGGAGGGGAGCAATAAGTATCATAATTTTTTTGTTTAACAGACCAAAGTAAGTATGTGTGTGTAAAAATAGCTTAGATTTTGAAACTTGGTTTATAAGATTAAATAATTAGTAAATTTGGCCAGGCACAGTGGCTCACGCCTGTAATCCCAGCACTTTGGGAGGCCGAGGCGGATGGATCACCTGAGGTCAGGAGTTCGAGACCAGGCTGGCCAATGTGGTGAGACCCCGTCTCTACTAAAAATACAGAAAAAATTAGTTGGGCGTGATGGTGCATGCTTGTAATCACAGGTACTCAGGAGGGCTCTGAGCAGGCAGGAGAATTGCTTGAACCCGGGAGACAGAAGTTGCAGTGAATTGAGATCATGCCACTGCTCTCCAGCCTGGGTGATAGAGTGAGACTGTTTCAAAAACAAAACAAAACAAAATTAAATAATTAGTAAATTTGCAGTGATGAGGGATTACCCCAGGCCTTTTTTCCTGTGGTTTGTTTTTATTTTTACTTTAATATTTACTTTTATTGAGACAGAGTCTTACTTTGTTACCCAGGTTGGAGTACTGTGGTGTGATCTTGGCTCTCTGAAGCCTTGACCTCCCAAGGCACATGCTTGTAGAGAAAATAGAGTCATAGGGTCTCCCTATGTTGCTCAAGCTGGTCTCAAACTCCTGGCCTCAAGCAATCCTCTCACCTCAGCCTCCCAAAGTGCTGGGATTATAGGCGTAAGCCACCATGCCCAGTTTATATATTGCTATTTTATAACCTAGTTTTTTTTTTCCTATGCCTTAGACTATTCTTTTTAAAATGTGGTTTCAGAGAAGGAGCATAGTGGTTCATCACATGCATATGCCATAATGTATTTAGTCAACTCTCAATTGTTGAACATGTAGGTTATTTCTTAATTTTTGCTATTACAAACATATATATAACAAATTTTGGGGCTAGGCTGGGTGACTCACACCTGTAATCCCAACATTTTGGGAGGCCGAAGTAGGAGAATGACTTGAGCCCAGGAGTTTGAAACCAGCCTGGACAAGATAGTGAAACTCTATCTCTACAAAAAATTAAAAAAAAAAAATATTGGCCAGGCATGGTGGTACATGCCTGTAGTCCTAGCTACTCTGCAGGCTGAGGCAGGAGGATCTCTGTAGCCCAGGAATTCAAGGCAGCAGTGAGCTATGATTGCCCCACTGCACTCCAGCTTGGGCAACAGAGAAAAACCCTGTTTCTAAAATAATAATAAATTTTGGTGGTCATCTCTGATTTTTAAAAAAATATGTTCTGGGAGTAGAATTTCTAGGCCAAGGAGTATGTACATTTTTGAGGCTTTTAGTAAGTATTGCTAAAAAGTTTTACCTCAATGTTGGCTAGTGTTTTAAGTGGAAAATTGGCAGTTTTCTGTAATACATTTGAAACATATTTATTTAAAACCTTAAGATTAGTTGAAGCTGATGATAATAAAACTGGATGATTATGTACTTAGCTTCTCTTTCTCTTGTTTTTGTTTTTGTTTGTTTGGCTTTCCACCATGAATTAAATCATGACAATATGATTTGATATTGCTTTTTATAGAAAACATGTCTCAACTTAGCGAGGAAGAACAGAATAAAGATTATCAAGACTGTAGCAAAACCACTTCATTGTGCGCAGGACCCTCAGGCAAGTAGTACGGCAGCCTTCATTGCTGCTCTGCACACAGGTGGCTGACTGGTTTCATAAGGGAGGGGCTGGCAGCTGACCTGAAGGCAGCACAGAGAATGGTCCTTTAGTTATGTTGCCACTAGGCCCCTGGACAAAGTTGGAACATAAGAGAGGTTTGTATTTGGTGCCATCCCATTTGCCTTTCTTTTACTCCTCTTCCACCTTCTGGGGTTCCCTCTCCCTCCCCCACAAAGCACCTAATGCCTTGATACTTCCCTCTGGCTGTGCAAAGCTCTCCACAATTTTACATCTCCCAAAGTCAAATATGTACCTATTATGGGAGTAATTCCAAAACTATCTTAAAAGAAATTGTTAAAAGGACTGCTTTACTCTGGTTTTACCTGTAATGGTTAAACTGTGGACTAGTAAAATCAGCCTCATTTTTTTTAAACTTGTTCGCATAATGTGGTTATATTCAAACTTGTAGAACAGCCTTAGGATTTAAAAACTAGGGTTATTCATCCAGGAAAAATTTTCTCTTGATATAGTTTTTACAGCAGTAGAAGGAATTGTTGAGAATTGCATTGTCATGAGCATCTTTTCTTCAATAATTGTAATGTTCTTTTAGGAAGAATTTTGCCTTTTTATTTTACTTATACTGAAAATAGCTATTGCCAGTTTTTTTTTCTTAAATTAGCATCAAAGAATGAATATGAGAAAAGCAGAGGTGAATTGAAGAAAAAGAAAACACCTGGTCCAGGCAAAGTAAGTATTTCACTTGTCTGGGAGTAAAAATGAATCCCTTTGTCATGGACCACATCCAGAAAAGTGAATCTTTGGAGACTGACTTAACAGAGTTCCCAGCAGCCTTATTCCCCTCTCCTAGAAATCTAGATTCTTTGATTTTTGTTTTTGAATTTTCTGTTGTCTTTATCACTCTTTTCCCTATAACTGCTCACATACAAGCTATCTCTTTTATTAGTTTATGAATCTTTCTTTATATCCTAATTTGCCATATAAAGACATTTGAATAACATATTCTTATTTTCCTCCTTTTATTACACAAAAGGTAGGATGTGATGTACTCCATTCTACATCTGTTTTTTTGTTTTATTTATTTATTTATTTATTTAAACCACTCATGGAAATTATTTTGTAACAGTATATTGAGAGTTTCTCACCATATGGAGGACGTTATCTAACAGTTCCTTACAGATGGACACTTGCATTGTTTTTAGTCTTTTATTACAATAATACTATAATGAACAATCTTGTATATATATAATTTTGTGTGGATATAGTAAGCTCCCAGAAGTGCTAGGCTGTATCAGGAGGTCCCCAAGACCACTCACAGGTTAGGTCATTCACGAGAGGACCCAGGTCTCAGCGTATGATTGTACTTGCATCTATGATATACTACAGCAAAAGGACACCAGGCACCATCAGCAAAGGGAGAAGGAACATGGGGCAAAATATGGTGGAAACCTGGCACAGGCTTCCAAGGATGTCTTCCAGTAGAGTCACACAGGACATGCTTAATTCCCCTAAGAACAAGTTGTGGCAACACTTGCGAAATGTTGCTAACTAAGGAAGCTCATTAGAGACTCAGTGCCCAGGGTTTTTATTGGCGACTGATCACATAGGCATTCCCTGCCTGGCATCTACCAAAATTCAGACTTCCAGAAGGAAAGCAGGTGTTCAGCATGAATCATATTGTTTGTACAAACAGTTTAGGCACAATGAGCCATTCTTGTCAGTTAGGGTAGCAGAAACCTTCCCAAAGTCTGGATTCCCAGATGCCAGCCAAGGGCAAACCTTGCAAATAGGTTTTCAATGGATAGCAGTCAGCCTTGCTCTGTTAACTTTTCTAAACCTTGGCCAAAAGGTAAATGCCAAATTTCCCTCTATGGGGGCTGTACCATTTAGCACTCACACCTGCAGTGTGTTAACTGCCCCTTTTAAAGAGTGTCATGTAACTCACTGGCTGAAAATCAGCTTGTGATGCTTTATGGAAAAAAGGTTCAGAGAGAGAATATTCCCCCAAGTAGGTTACTTATGTCAAGATCATTAATAGAAACTGTTCTCTGTTAGTTTTTGTTTGCTAACAGGCATAAGGACAATAGTTCTTAGAGTTAAAATTATACCTATATATATAATTTTTAAAAAATAGCTTTTGGGTTACAAATGGTTCTTTGGTTACATAGATGAATCATATAGTGATGAAATCTGAGATTTTAGTGCACCTGTCACCCAAGTAGTGTACATTGTACCCAATATGCAATTTTTTATTCCTCATCCCCTTCCCAGCCTCCTCCCTCTGAGTCTCCAAAGTCCATCATACCACTCTGTATGCCTTTGCATACCCATAGCTTAGCTCCCACTTATAAGTGAGAACATATGGTATTTGGTTTTCCACTCCTAAGTTACTTTGCTTAAAATAATGGCCTCTAGCTCCAAGTTGCTGCAAAAAAATTTTATTTTTTATTTTTATTTTTATTTTTGAGACCGAGTCTTGCTCTGTCACCCAGGCTGGAGTGCAGTGGTGTGATCATGGCTCACTGCAAGCTTCAATCTCTTGGGCTCAAGTGATCCTCCCACCTCAGACTCCTGAGTAGCTGGGACTACAGTTGTGTACCACAATGCCCAGCTAATTTTTGTGGGTTTTTTTGTAGAAATAAGTCTTGTTTTGTTGCCCGGGCTGGTCTCAAACTCCTAGCTTCAAATGATCCTGGGATGCTGACTTTTATTGAATGCTTTTTCTGCATCTATTGAGATGATCATATGGTTTTTGTTTTTAATTCTGTTGCTGTGATGTATCATATTTATTGACTTGCATATGTTAAACCATCCCAGCATCCCTGGGATGAAACCCACTTGATCATGGTGTATTGAATAGGGTGTATTATTTTTCTGATATGCTGTTGGATTCAGTTTACTAGTCTTTCATTGAGGATTTTTGCGTCTGTGTTCACCAGGGATATTGGGCTCTAGTTTTCTTTTTTTTTGTTATGTCCTTTCCTAGTTTTTGTATCAGGGCGATATTAGCTTCATAGAATGAGTTAGGGAGGATTCCTTCTTTCTCATTCTTTTGGAATACTTTCAGTAAGATTGGTACCAATTCTTCCTTGAATGTCTGGTAGAATCTGACTGTGAATCCTTCTGGTCCTGGGCTTTTTTTTGTTGGTGGTAATATTTTTTAATTACTGACTCAATCTCACTGCTTTTTATTGGTTTGGTCAGGATTTCTGTTTCTTCCTGATTCAGTCTAGGAGGGTTGTGTGTTTCCAGGAATTTATCCATTTCTACTAGATGTTCTAGTTTGTGTGCATAGAGGTGTTCATAGTAGTCTCAAAGGATCTTTTGTATTTCTGTGGTGTTGCTTGTAATGTCTCCATTTTCCTTTCTAATTGAACTAATATAGAATCTTCTTTTCTTGTCTAATCTAGCTAATGATCTATGAATTTAGTTTATCTTTTCAAAAACCACCTTTTTTTTCATTGATCTTTTGCAGTTTCTTTTGTTTCAATTTCATTTAGTTCTGCTCTGATCTTTGTTATTTCTTTTATGCTAGCTTTGGGTTTAATCTGTTCTTTTTTTTTTTTTTTTTGAGACAGAGTCTCATTCTGTTGCCCAGGGAGTGCAGTGGTGCGATCTCAGCTCACTGCAACCTCTGCCTCCCGGGTTCAAGCAATTTTCCTGCCTCAGCTCTCCTGAATAGCTGGGATTACAGGCGTGTGTCACCACGCCCAGCTAATTTTTGTACTTTTGTTAGAAGCAGGATTTCACCATGTTGACCAGGCTCGTCTTGAACTCCTGGACTCAAGCGATCTGCCCACCCCAGCCTCTCAAAGTGCTGGGATTATAGGTATGAGCCACCGCGCCCAGCCTCATTTGGTCTGTTCTTGTTCCTCTAGTTCCTTGAGGTGTGACATTAGGTTGTCAATTTGTGATCTTTCAGACTTTTCTCTCTCTCTCTCTCTCTCTTTTTTAAATAGAGATGAGGTCTTGCTATGTTATCCAGGCTGGTCTTGAACTCCTGAGCTCAAGCAATCCTCCTGCCTTGGCCTTTCAAAGTGCTGGGGTTATAGGCGTGAGTCACCATGCCTGGCTCAAGACTTCTTGATGTAGGCATTTAACACTATAAATTTTTCCTCTTAGCACTGCTTTTGCTGTATCCCAGAGGTTTTGATAACTTGTGTCACTATTATTTATTTTGAAGAATTTTTAAATTTCCAGTGATTTCATTGTTAACCCAAAAATCATTTAGAAGCAGATTGTTTAATTTCCATGTATTTGTATAGTTTTGAAGGTTCCTTTTCAAGTTGGTTTCTAGTTTTATTCGACTGTGGTCTGAGAAGATACTTGATATGATTTCAATTTTTTTAAATTTGAGATTTGTTTTGTGGTCTATCATATGGTCTATCTTGGAGAATATTTCAGGCACTGATGAGAAGATTGTATATTCTGCAGTTCTGGAGTAGATGTTCTGTAAATATGTTAGTTGATTTGTTCTGGAGTATAGTATAGGTCCAGTGTTTGTTGACTTTCTGCCTTGATGATCTGTTTGCTGTTGTCAGTGGAGTGTGAAGTCTTCCACTATCATTGTGTTGCTGTCTTTCTCTTTTGTTAGGTCTGGTAGTAGTTGTTTTATGAATCTGGGAGCTCCAGTTTTAGGTGCATATATATTTAGGATTGTAATATCTTCTTGTTGGGTTGATCCTTTTATAATTATATAATAGCCTTCTTTGTCTTTTTTTCAGTGTTGTTGCTTTAAATTCTATTTTATTTGATATAAGAAAAGCTACTGCTGCTTGCATTTGGCTTCCATTTGTATGGAATATCTTTTTCCACTCCTTTACCTTTAGTCTATAAGAAGCCTCACATGTTAAGTGAGTCTCTTGAAGATGGCAGATATTTGGTTTGCGATTTATTTATTTATTTATTTATTTATTGAGACGGAATCTCGCTCTGTAGCTCAGGCTGGAGTGCAGTGGTGTGATCTCAGCTCACTGTAACCTCTGCCTCCCGGGTTCAAGTGATTCTCCTGCCTCAGCCTCCCGAGTAGCTGGGACTACAGGCACACACCACCACACTTGGCTAATTTTTGTATTTTTAGTAGAGATTTTGCAACGTTAGCCAGACTGGTCTTGAATTCCTGACCTCAGGTGATCCACCCACCTCAGCCTCCCCAAGTGCTGGGATTACAGGTGTGAGCCACTGCGCCCAGCCTGTGATTTTTTTTTTTTTTTTGAGTGGAGTATTTAGACCATTTACATTGAATGTTAATATTGAGATGTGAGGTACTGTTACAGTCATCATGTTGATTGTTACCTAGATACTTTTCTTCCTTCATTACATTATTGTTTTATAGGCCCTGTGAGTTTTATGCTTTCAAGAGGTTCTATTCTGGTGCATGCCAACCTTTTGTTTTAAGATTTAGAACTCCTTTTTGCATTTCTTGTAGGTCTGGTCTGGTAGTGACAAATTCCCTCAGCATGTGCTTGTCTGAAAAAGACTTTATTTCTCTTTCATTCATGAAACTTAGTTTTGTTGGATACAAAATTCTTGACTAATGTTTATTCTGCTTAAGGAGGCTAACAATAGGACCCCAATCCCTTCTGCAGTTGTAAGGTTTCTGGAGAGAAATTCTTGTGAATAAAACAATCCATCTTTTCTTTTTAGCTTCCACCAACACTTTCTTCCAAATATCCTGAAGATGACCCAGACTACTGTGTGTGGGTCCCACCTGAAGGTAGATTGTTTTTACTTTTTTTTCCTCTAAGGTTCATTTATTTATATTTTTGAATAGGTAATATAGATTTAAGGTTCAACATAAGAAAGTTACAAGAGTATGTAGTGATAATTTGTATACCATGTTTGGATCCTTATTCAAACAAACAACTGTTTAAAAAAATTATTAGCCAGTCAGATAATTTTGAACACTACCTGGATATTTGATGATACTAAGAAATTATTTTTTATTTTTTTAAAGTGTGAATGATGTTGAGTTATGTTTTTTGGAAAAAGTCCTTGTCTTCTAGGAATATATACGGAAGTGTTTACAGGTGTAATGTTATCTGGGTTTTACCAAGTCAAAAGAAAGGAAAACAATTCTGGCTGTGCCTCAGCTACTCGGTTGTTTTCCTCACAAGACAACCAATTGTTGTTAGTTTCTTATGGATACTTATATATAAAATGCTAAGTAGAGAGGAGCATCTATAGAAAAAAAATCATAAAAGTTAACCTGCTGGATCAAAGGTATAAACATTTTAAAGATATTATAAATTGCATTCTATAGAGATTGTACCAGTTTTATGCTCATACACACACCCTTAAAGCAATGTATGAGATACTTACTTCCTCATATGTTCATCACAGCTTGAGATTTCTAATATATTAGTAACTAATATAATTTAGTTACTTGAGATGTCTGCTTTTTCTATGCTAACAAATGTTAGGGTAGAAATGAAAGAGGGCTGTATTTTGAAATTTCATACAAAAAGTAAAATTTCTACCGTAGAATAAACCTTTTTGTCTATTTTACTTTTTGGCCTACTGATATCTGGATATCTTTTCTCTCCTGACTTTGGAAGAGTAAATAATGTATTTCTTTTTTTATATTCTGATCTAGGTCAAAGTGGAGATGGCAGAACCCATCTTAATGACAAGTATGGCTATTGATTGCTTCAGAATCCCAAAAGAAAACCTTGTGGACCATGTGACATGGAATATTTGGGATAATGTATCAAATTGAATGGCCAGAGAAGTTTAGATGATTATTTGTAAGATCTGGTGACTGGCTTTTCGTTCTGTGTTCTTGGCTTCCTAAATTTATCTGCCCATATGATTCTCATGCATTTGATATTTATGTTTAAAAGTGTTTATATATGTATGTAAAAAGGGAACCATATGTTTTGAGAATTTGTAAAGTGAGAGACATGATCCTATTAAAATAAGAAGGCAAAAATGTTCCTAATATTTTATTTTATTTTATTTTTTTTAAGAGACAGGGTCTTACTCTGTCACCTAGGCTGGGGTACAGTGGTGCAATCCTAGCTCACTGTAGCCTTGAACTCCTGGGCTCAAGCAATCCTCCCACCTCAGCCTCCCAAGTACCTGGGACTATAGGCATGTACCACCACCACACCTGGCTAATTATTTTATTTAAATTTTTTGGAGAGATGAAGTCTTGCCATGTTGCCCAGGCTTGTCTTGAACTCCTGGCCTCAAGTGATCCTCCTGCCTCAGCCTCCCAAAGCACTGGAACCTCATTTTTTTTTCTTTTTTTCTGAGACAGGGTCTCACTCTGTTGCCCAGAGTGAGTGCAGTGGCATGATCACAGCTTACTGCAGTGGCATGATCACAGCTTACTGCAGTCTCAACTTCCCAGGCTCAAGTGATTCTCCTGCCTCAGCCTCCTGAGTAGCTGGTACTACAGGTACATGCCACTGTGCCTGGCTAATTTTTATATTTATAGAGATGGGGTCTCACCATGTTGCCCAGGCTGGTCTCAAACTCCTGGGCTCAAGCAATCCCGCTCTCCTCAGCCTCCTAAAGTACTAGGATTACAGGCCACTGCATCCGGGACCTAATGTTGGGACCTTATGTTGATTAAAGGTCACAACCTCTTTCCTTAAGACTTAAGGACTATGCTTTTCCTGAGCAATAGGGTGCTTCTGGTGATTGGGTTGCAGAACTCACTGATATTGCCTCCTCAAATAACTGTTGAAATATGAGGTTATGCTATGGGTGTGACTCCGGGTGTCCCTGTCATTCTTGGTACTAAAAGTAGGTTCACAGTGGGGGCTTCCTACAACCTTCAACTATAATCTTCCTACCAGGTTTGAGAATAGACCCTGACTTATCAGGACAAAGTTAACTATGGCACCACCTTGTGCATTCAGGCACTAGTCCTGATGAAAACTCAGCCTGCTGAATGTCCAGAACTCTGACCAATCAGTCATTCCTCCTCTTGTGGAAGGGTGCAAATAAGGCCATGGAATGAAAAGCTGCATGTGTTTTGCCCAGTGTGGGGCTTCTTACCTCTGTGGAGAGGGGAATAGAAAGAATTTCTCTGGGAACAGGAAGAAATGCAAGAAGATGTCTTATTTCCTCCCCTCACCCTCCCCATCATTAGTGCTTCACTTCCATAGAAAGGAAAGCCCAAGAGTGAAGCAAAGTGGAGAGCATTTGGGGTAGGCTGAGGCAGACATAAGCAGCAGGGAGGAAAAATGCTGTGGCTGAGCTAGAGAGTGGATGAGGCTGATGCTTTCCTAAAATGGATTACACAGTATGCACGGAGGTAGGCAGGAAGCAGTAATGAGCAACTTCAGTTATCCTGACAGATGTGGGAAGTCTGGTCTGCTAAAAGTGATAAGTTCTTCATCTCTCAAAAAGGAATGTTGGTATTATGAGAAACTATTATTTTGGACTTCATATAGACCAACAAGGAAAAACTGGTTGATGATGTAAGAAGTGACAGGAATTTGGGTACAGAATGACTATGCCATCTTGGATTAAAACAGTGAACAAAAGTCTGAGCTAGATCAATGATCTTCAGAGGTGAAACGCTATTCAAACAAAATTGTATGTGGGACCCAATACTTGAGCAAGTAAAAATATATCTGCTCTGGCTGAAGTGAAGGCAAAGGGATTGGAGACACACACACACACACCCCGGCACCACACCACACCACTCCTCCCCCTACCCTCACAATGACCCTGAGGAATCCTAGGCACATGTCTTAAATTCTTCAAGTCTCAATTCTGTCATCTGTGAAGCAGGGACAGTAATGCTTCCTGCTCTTGGAACCTCAGATTGTTCTAAGGATCAAATGAGATAATGTAGATGAATTTACAGGGCTTTATAGATGTTAATAGTTGTTATTACAAAAGGGATAGATCCTAACATCTGGGCCTGACTTTCCTCATCAGTGAAAGAGGAGATAGGATTAGATCAGTGATTCTCAACTGTGGCTACATATTAGAATCACCTGCAGAAATGTAAAATTTTTTAATTGCAGTATTGGGTCCCACCTCAGACAGATTTAGTCAGTCCCACCTCAGACAGATTTAATCAGAATCTCTGAGGTGATCCTTTTTTTTTTCTTGAGGCAGAGTCTTGCTCTGTCACTCAGGCTGGAATACAGTGGTGTTATCATGGCTCACTGCAGCCTCTGCCTCTTGTCCTCAAGCGATCCTTCCACCTTAGCCTCTGAACTAGCTGGGACTACAGGTACACGCCACCATGCCCAGCTAATTTTTATATTTTTTTATAGAGATGAGGTTTCACTATGTTGCCCAGGTAGTCTCAAATTCCTGGCTCGAGCAGTCTGCCCACCTCAGCCTCCCAAAGTGCTAGGAGGACAGGTGTGAGCCACTGCTTCTGGTGAGGTGATCCCTTTTATAAGTACTCCAGGTGACCCTAATGTGGAGCCCATGGTGGGAAACTTCTAGAGCACTTTTTTCTATAACAATCTTTTTCTGTTTAGGGTCAGATATTTTAGGCTTTGCAAGCCATATAGTCTGTCATAAACACTCTACTGCTTTGTGCAGACAGCATTGGCAATACACAAATGAATGAGTGTGCTGTGTTCCAATAAGTGTTTGTTTATCAAAACAAATGGCAGGCTGGATTTGGCCCACAGGCTGTAGTTGGCCAACCCCTGCTCTACATCTTTAAGGTCTTACCTGGCTAAAAATTTTCTTTATGACATCTTTAAAAAATGTATATCTCAGTTCATGGATATTTGAAAGTTTCTATTCAGAAGGCTAATTATCTCTGAACTATATGGTTGCAGTTTTATGGGTACCAGAATTCAAAGTAATCCTGTCTCCTTTTCTCAGAAACAAAAGTAAGGTTATTAGTCATGAAATAAAATATGCTGTTACAGCAGGAACACAAGAGTTAACTGTAAGCAAGCTGTCCCTGGTCTGCCGTCCTGGCCTCCCTGGGAGTTTTGTATTATATCTGCCTCTATATTTAAAGAGCAATGGGAAGCCATTGGGTTGTTAGTGATGTTGAAATGATTGGGTTTAGATTTTTTTTTTTCTTGAGATGGAGTCTCACTCTGTCGCCCAGGCTGGAGTGCAGTGGTACGATCTCGGCTTACTGCAACCTCCGCCTCCCGGGTTCAAGCGATTCTCCTGCCTCAGCCTCCTGAGTAGCTGGGATTACAGATGCCTGCCACCACGTCCGGCTAATTTTTATATTTTTAGTAGAGACGGGGTTTCACCATGTTGATCAGGCTGGTCTCGAACTCCTGACCTCGTGATCCGCCCACCTCGGCCTCCTAAAGTGCTGGGATTATAGGCGTGAGCCACCACTCCCAGCCGGGTTTGGATTTTTAAAAGAAGATTCAAGCTACAGTGTGAAAGAAGGATGGAAGACGGCAGGAGGATGCAGGAAAAACCAGTTAGAAGTCTGCAGCAGAAGTCCAGGTGAAAGATAATGGTGGCCTAAATTAAGCAGAGACTGAGGTGGAAAGAGGTAAATGGGGCCCAACAATATTTTTAAAAGTAGAATATGGCTAAGACTGAGTGATGGGATTGTCTGGGGGTAAAAGGGAAGGAATTGAGCATGGTTCCCACATTGCTGGCTTGTACATCTGAATGGGTGATAGGTCATTCATTGAGGTAAGGGCAACAAGTTGAGCTTGATGTTCCTTTGAGACACCCAAGTAAAGATGTCAAGAAAGCAGTTGGTTGGATATATACGTCTGGATCTCAGAAGAGAGGGCTGAAGAACAGTTGTGGGTGGGTAGGGTTGGGTGGCAGGTACTAGTAGGTGAGGTTAAAGACTAGGTGACACGAGTTTTGAAAGCAGACTTCAGTCTTAGACAGCTGGATCTCCCTATCTTTGGTACAAGGAACAAAATTTTTCCTGGTTATGGGTACTCATTTATTGGGAGAAAAGGGTGAAATGTGTTTATCAGAGTAAGCAGCGTTTTGGAGAGAAAAAGTCAGGCATATGTATTTAACATTAAAACAAGTCTTTGTCCACTTTAAAATTTTTCTTTTTTTGAAACAGAATCTCGCTCTGTCGCCCAGGCTGCAGTGTAGTGGCATAATCTCGGCTCACTGTAACCTCTGCCTCCAGGCGTCAAGTGATTCTCTTGCCTCCGCCTCCCGAGTAGCTGGGATTATAGGTGCGCACCACCACACCCAGCTAATTTTTTACGTTTTTGGTAGAAACAGCGTTTTACCATGTTGGCCAGGCTGGTCTCAAACTCCTGACCTCAAGTGATCCTCCTGCCTTGGCCTCCCAAAGTGCTGGGATTACCGGCGTGAGCCACTGCACCCAACCACTTTAAGAATTTTCAAGGGACCTAAAAACATGTCTAGAAAGCCAAAACTTTATTAACTATTATGTATTAAAAATTTCCAATAATAATAATAGCTAAGGCCAGATGCGGTGGCTCAAGCCTGTAATCTCAACACTTTGGGAGGCTGAGGTTGGAGGATCGCTTGAGCCAGGAGTTTGAGACCAGCCTGGATAATACAGTGGGACCCCATCTCTACTAAGAAAAAGAAAAAATAGGCCGGGCGTGGTGGCTCATGCCTGTAATCCCAGCACTTTGGGAGGCTGAGGCAGGCAGATCAGCCTGGCCAACATGGTGAAACCTCATCTCTACTGAAAATACAAAAATTAGCCGGGTGTGGTAGTAGGCACCTGTAATCCCAGCTACTCGGGAGGCTGAGGCAGGAGAATCACTTGAACCCGGGAGGCAGAGGTTGCAGTGAGCCAATATTGCGCCATTGCACTCCAGCCTGGGGTACAAGAGCCAAGACTTCGTCTCAAAAAAAAAAAAAAAAAAAAAAAAAGAAAAAGAAAAAAAAAGAAAAGAAAAAATAGGCCGGGCACACAGTGGCTCATGCCTGTAATCCCAGCACTTTGGCAGGCCAAGGCAGGTGGATCACCTGAGGTCAGGAGTCCCGAGACCAGCCTGGTCAACATGGCGAAACCCCGTCTCTACTTTTAGTAGAGACAAAAATTAGTCGGGTGTGGTGGCAGGCGCCTGTAGTCCCAGCTACTCAGGAGGCTGAGGCAGAGAATCACTTGAACTGGGGTGGAGGGGCAGAGGTTGCAGTGAGCCAAGATTGCGTCACTGCACTCCAGCCTGGGCGACAGAGTGAGACTCCGTCTAAAAAATAATAATAATAATAATAATAATAGTAGCTAAGATTTATTTAGTGCCCTCAATGTGCCAGGCACTATGCTAACTGCTTTGTATGGATTCTCATTTAATCTTCAAAATAGTTCAGTGAGGTGTAGGTACTATTACTTCCTTCAGTTATACAGCTGAGGAAACTGAAGACTTGAAGGCTAAAACCCTGGTTTAAGGCCACTTAGCCAATGAATTGGACTGGAACATAAGCAGTCCAATTTCTGAGTCTAACTTTTAACCCCCAGTATATTGCTTTAATTTTAAAAATAGACTTTTTAAGGGCAGTTTTAGATTTACAGCAAAAGTGAACAAAAAGTGTAAAACAAAGAGTTCCCATTTACCTGTCCCCCACCCCCCACACACAATCTCTTGTACTAGCAAAGTCCTGTACCAGAGTGGTACATTTTTTACAATTAAATCTGAATTGACACGTTATCAAACCAACTACAGTTTACATTAGGATTTACTCTTAGTGTACATTCTGTGGGTTTTGACAAATGTATAATGACATATATTCACCATTATAGTATATCATACAGAGTAGTTTCACTGCCCCAGAAGTCGTGTGTGTTCTGCCTATTCATCCTTCTCTCCCCCTTCAGCCCCAGGAGCCACTGATCTTTTTACTGTCTCCATAGTTGTATATTTTCCAGAATGTCATATGGTTGGATATTGCCTGCTTTTTTTTTGATACAAAGTCTTGCTCTGTTGCCCAGGCTAGAGTGTAGTGGCACCATCATAGCTCACTGCAGCCTCGAATTCATAGGCTCAAGGGATCCTTCCACCTCAGGTCCCCAAGTAGCCAGGACTACAGATATGGATCACCATGCCCGGCTAAGTTTTAATTTTTTTGTATAGATGGGGGTCTCACTATGTTGCCCAGGCTGGTCTTGAACTCCTAGCCTTAGGGATCTTCCCCTGCCTTGGCCTCCAAAAGTGCTAGGATTACAAGCATGAGCCACCTCACCTAGCCTAACTTTTTACTACTAAAACTCTTTTATTTCTAAAATTAAGGATATTTTGAGAAGAGGAAAATATTTAAAGCGGTATAGTAATTTTAAAGATATTTAGAGAAAAGGGAAGAAATGAAGCATGGGTAAAAAAATTAAATGCCAGCTGAGTGTTGTGGCTCATGCCTATAATCCCAGCACTTTGAGAGGCCAAGGCAGGATGATCGCTTGAGGCCAGGAGTTCAAGACCAGCCTGTGCAACATAGTGAGACCCCATCTCTACAAAAAATTTAAAAATTAACTGGGTGTAGTGGCAGCACCTGTAGTCCCAGCTACTTGGGAGACTGAGGTGGGAGGATCGCTTGAGCCTGGGAAGCTGAGGCTGCAGTGAGCCATGATCACGTCACTGCACCTAGCCTAGAAGACAGAACAAGCCCCTGTCTGAAAAACAAATAAAAATAAAAAAATTAAATGTCTAAGCATCTCAGCATCACCATAACATGACCACTGTTAAAATTCTGTTTATTTCAGTTGGGCATTGAGGTTTCATTGTATTGTACAGGAAAGAACACTATTCTACCAGTACTAGATGGAGTTAGCCCTTTCGGGAAATATGACACAATTCCCAACAAACATTGAAGCCGTTAGCCACAGCCTGAGGATCTGTTGCTTTACCACTGAAGTGCTGCCACCTCCCAGACAGGGTGTGACAAGTGGCCAGCAGCTGTGGATGCCTTCCTGAGAGAGTGGGAGCCAGAGGGAAGCCTGCCAGCCCTGTGGCAATCAAAAGCCAGAATCAAAGCCTCTGCAGGGGAGCGGGAGCCGCGTTCCCATACAGGGTTTAGTCCAACCAGATTCTTGACTGCTGGGAAATGATAAAACTCCTTGACCTTTGAGGAGTGGGTCCAGCATCAAACTGGTAGTCTTCTTGTGACAGGCCACTCTGATTCTGAGATTCCTCACTTAATGTGGGCGTTGAGAACAATTTTCAGGATTTCACCGCTGCTCTCTGAGAAGACTTTGCCCTCCTTTGGTTTTAGAGGTTTGGCACATCATAGTCCAGGGTGGAACCAAGACTTCTATTCAGTAGGATTCTGGAAATCTGCCCCCACCCCCACCATAGGACCTGGCATTGATGAGGCAGGTTGGAGGGCTCAGCATGTGATTGCAGTGTTTTCCATCAAGGGTACCTCTGCCTTCTTTATTCCCCTAGCCCATTTTAATTTCTCCATGTGGAAGTTTTAGGATCTATGCCTTTGCATTGCCCACTGCCCTAATCTAAGCTCCCTTCACCTCATGACTCCACAGGTCTCCCTCTCATCTCTGCCTTATCAACTCTCCTCCACATATGTCAAACACATCCCTGAGCAGAGTCCCTTGCTCTGAAATCTCAAAAGGTTTTCCAGTGTCCAAAGTGTGAGGGTCCAAATTCCTTTGAGGCTTTAAAAGCCTTATCATAGGGTTCCTGTGCTTTTCTATCATCATGACCCCACACCTGCCCTTGTCCCTCCCTTTCTTCCACCCGATGAGGCATACCTGCTACTCTAGAAATAACAGGTTATTTGCCCCAAACACACCTTTGCTTTTTCCTCTCCCTATATTTTCTATCAAGCCTTTCTGCATAGGCCTCAGTTTCCTTGTCTATTAAATAGAGAAAATAATACCTACCCAACAGTATTGTTGCAGAGATTAAGTAACAAATATAAACTTTTAGCCATGTCCAACACATAATCACCTCCCCCCACCCCATGTAGTTATTATGAGTGTCATTGTGGTCTTCCTTGCTCATGTTTGGTAAGTAAGGTACTACTTTTTTTCTTTTTAAGACTTTATTTTTTAGAGCAGTTTTAGGTTCACAGAAAAATTGAGCAGAAAATACAGAGATTTGCCATTGTCCCCACTCCTCTCATACACAGCCTCCCCCATTATCAACATTCCCCACCAGAGTGGTAAATTTGTTACAACTGATGAACTTATATTGACACATCGATATCACCTGAAGTCCACAGTTTACATTAGGGCTCACTCTTGATATTGTACATTCTCTGGGTTTGGAGAGATGTGTAACGTCATGTATCCATTATAGTATACAGACAAACATGGTTTCATTGCCCTAAAAATCTCTCTGTGCTCCACCCATTCCTCCCTCCCTCCCCCAGGCCCGACTCATTTTTAACACAATCAGCTTGCCCCAAACTACCTTCAGGAGGCCTCCCTGATTGCAGAGACTATCACTAATCCCTCCTTCCCCACTAGCGCTACAGCACTTTATTTCTACTTCTATTACAGCCCTTACTCCAACGGCTTGATATTCATTACTGATATGTGTGTTTGGGTTACTTACGTTTGTCACTTACAAGTTCTTGAGGACAGGAACTACATTATCTTGTACCCCATCCATGGCACCTAGCAGTTCACAAATTGGTGCTCAGTTAGTTAACTGTTGGTTTCAATGGGTGGAGGGCTGAAGGGCAGGTCCTAGCCCCAGCCCTTCCTATCCTTGGGTTTTTCTGTCAGAGAAGGGATACCTTCTAGCCACTTTTAGTTCCAGGACCTTGCTCCAGACAAGCTGGATAGTCTAGGAACTGACCATTTTAGCAAGTTTAATCCAGAGGGCTGGATTTATGTCCTACTTGGGGCAAAACCAGGCATGAACTACTCCTTCCCATCAAGGAGCGCTGCACTCCAGCAGCTGGCTTTAATTTGGATTTTCCAGGACCAGCTGCATTTAGCTGGGGTTGGTTGGGTTTCCTCAGGTCTGCCTTTATCACGCACACCCCGTCAGAAGTTAATGCAACCACGGCAGGGAGTGACCACAAGGGGGCAGTATAGACCCATTACAATGCGGTCAGCTTGCACAAGGGGCTGAAAGAAGATAAAGGTTTCAAAGCAGAAGAAAGAGTAAGAATCAGAAAAAAAGGAGGATTGTGAAAAAGTTAGGAGCAGCAAGCTAGTTTCGCTCACAGACATTCCTGGACCCAAGACCTGGCAGCAGAAAGTTAGCCAGAGACACCGGTCAGGCCCAAATGGTGCTCCCAACTCTCCTCCAAAACTGCCTTTTCCAGTGCTTAATTTCACTTAGAGAAAGTCGCTCTCCATTTATAATGCCAATATTCTATGGAGGACTTTGGGCATTGCATATTTATTCCTTACACACTATATTTCAGCTTTACAGTTTACAGAGGATTTTTTTCACACTTGTTAAAAAAAAAAATCCGAATCCCCTATTAGACTTAAAAGGTAAAAACAGATGTTAATTACCTCTGTTTAAAGAAACTGAGGCACTGGGCAGGGTGGCTAACACCTGTAATCCCAGCATTTTGGGAGGCTGGGGCAGGTGGATCGCCTGAGGTCAGGAGTTCGAGACCAGCCTGGCCAATATGGTGAAACCCCGTCTCTACAAAAAATACAAAAATTAGCCAGGCATGGTGACCCCTGCCTGTAGTCCCAGCTACTCAGGCTGAAGCAGGAGAATCACTTGAACCCAGGAAGTGGAGGTTGCAGTGAGCCCAGATTGCATCATTGCACTCCAGCCTGGGCATTGCAGCGAAACTCCATCTCAAAAAACAAAAACAAAAACAAAAAAAACCTGAGGCTAGACACATGAAGTGACTTGCTCAAAGGCACACCGAGTTTGTGGTGGAACTACATCTAGATGTGAGTTTCTTTCATTTCTGTTCCTTTGCTTAGTCCTTCTAGTTTTCAATTGTTTATGTCTGTAAGCTTAGTGAGTTTTTAAGAGCAAGGACTATATCTGATTCATCTTTATATCCCTGAATGGTGCCCCTTAATCTTTAGGGCTATGGCTGGGTGTGTTGTATAACACCTTCTCCAGAGTTAGAGTCCATGATCTATCTCTTATCCTCCATGATTCAATAATTTTGTGATTTTGAGGCACGGCCCTAACAAAGACAGTGGTGGCTATGAGTGATCCTACTGGCTGAGCATTTCAACAAGGGCAGCCACTTGGCTGCATCCTTCGTAATACAGAGAGGTTGTGAGACAGTTTTCCAAAGTATACACGAGTGTCCCTGGTGTCACGAGAGTCGACTTTAGGGGATGAGGATGAAAATGTTTAATTTTAGTAGCTACACATATAAATACATATAAACAGTATAAATGTAATATGTCACATTACATATACATATTAAAATATATATGTACATTTTAATATATATGTACACATATATACACACATATGTATTGCAGCTTAGAATGAAGTTAACTTTTTTATGTCAACAGATTTTAGGGTACAGGTAAGTATTTGGTTACATGGGTAAATTTTTTTTTTTAAGAGAGATGGGGTCTCAATATATTGCCCAAGCTGGCCTTGAACTCCTGGGCTTGAGAACCACCCACCTTAGCCTCCCAAAGTGCTGGGATTACAGGTGTGAGCCACCACACCCGTCACATGGGTAAGTTCTTTAGTGGTGATTTCTAAAGAGATTTTAGTGTACCCATCACCTGAGCAGTGTACACTGTACCCAATACTTAGTCTTTTATCCTTCACCATCCTCCCAACCTTCCCCAGCCGAGTCCCCAAAGTCCACTATATAAATCATGCCTTTGCGTCCTCATGGCTTAGCTCCTACTTATAAGTGAGAACATACAATGTTTCGTTTTCCATTCCTGAGTTACTTAACTTAGAATAATGGGCAGAATGAGGTTAACTTTTAAATTGTGTTTATTTAAGAAAAATATTATGTAAATAATAGTATGGTGGTATGCCACAAGGCAGAAAGCCTGAAACAGATATACCAATGACAAGTTCAAGGAACTGTGGTGAGGTGGGAAAATGTAACAAAACTCATTAGTCACAAACCTCACTTCAAGTCTGGCTCTGTCACACTTAAGTCATGTAACCCTGATTAAACTGCTGACCTTAAATGAGGCTGTTTCCTCATCTGTGAAGTTGAAAAAGAACTCCTACCCTCCTAAACTCACATTAAAATATGTAGAAACATGCTGAAGCCCGGAACACACCGTGCAAATAGCCCGTGGGGCTGATATCCCAATTTCCTCTTTTACCAAGGTCTATCCAGGGCTTCCTCTTCACCACCCCAGGAAGTGCCTCACAACTAGCCCCTATTTCCCAGGATCCCAAGGACCAAGTTCTATTCAGTTTGTTGTCCACACCTGGGTCTGCCATTCTGAGGGTGGGGAGGTGGGAGGGGCTGGAGAAATCCTGGAATCAGTCTGGGAACAAGTCCCAACACATGTCACTGTTTGCTTTGTCATCCTGATTCAATGACCTCATACAAGGAAGGGAGGGAGCAGAAGGAGCTGTTCCCTTCCAGATACCTAAGGAGGCTTCTGACATCTACTGTTTTCCTTGGCACGAGAAGGGCAGGAGCTGGGCTGTGATTTTTAAGGTCTGAGCTAATCTTGGAAGTGGTGAACAGCACCTCCCACAGCTGGCCAGACTGCTGCTTGGGGAACTGCCTTGAGCAAAGGGGCAGAGGGAGTTGGAATGGGCATCAGAACCCAGGCTGCTGCCCCTGCTCCTTGAAAGGGCTTCAGAACACACTGCCCTATCCATCCCCAGGATCTCACCAATCTTAGTACTAAGAATGCTAAGAATGGGCATGTCGCCCAGTTAGGGAGAAAAAGCCTGAAGCTAGGACAGCTCCTTTTTTTTTTTTTGAGAAAGAGTCTCGCTCTGTTGCCCAGGATTGAGTGCAGTGGAGTGATTTTGGCTCACTGCAATCTCCACCTCCTGGTTCAAGGGATTCTCATGCCTCAGCCTCCCGAGTAGCTGGGATTACAGGCGCCCGCCACCATGCCTGGCTAATTTTTGTATTTTTAGTAGAGACAGGGTTTCACCATGTTGGCCAGACTGGTCTTAAACTCCTGACCTCAGGTGATCTGCTTGCCTTGGCCTCCCAAAGTGCTGGGATTACAGGTGTGAGCCACTGTATCTGGCCTAGGACAGCTCTTGAATGGATTCTTAGCCTGGCCCCTCATGGGACATTCAACTGGGGTTGACAGAAGCTTCATTGACCCCAGGGTCAGAGAGTGTAATCGTCCTCACGGACTTATACATATAATGCATACTTTTTGAGCACCTACTATGTACCAGGCCTTTTGGGGAAATGAGCCAGCCATGTTGTATCAAAAGGCTAGATAGGACCTTAGAGTCACCTTTTTACCACCAGGAGTCCTTGTGTCATCCTTATCCCACTCCCTCTACCATCCTGGACATAATTAACGTTTAAATAAATTATTTTTGTTGGCCAAAAAAATTGAATTTAGCAAGTATTCATTTACAAGTTTTTGGTAATCACATATTTACATATCTGCAAATAAATTATGATCAAATAACACAAGATAATAGCTAACATTAGTACACTGAGTTAATATCCAGTCAAAAAAAAGCAAAGAAATTCAGCATTTTAGCTATCCTGTTTATTCTGGTTGGGCTTTTTTAAATTTAAAAAGTAGCTGGCCGACTACGTGGGGAATCAGTTCAAGGTTTTAGAAGTGGTGACGTAACCGCTGGGTTTTGAAGGAGAAGAGTTCACAAGCAGATAGAGAGGATGTTGCAGGCAGAGGAGGCAGAATGGTCCAGGTGCTAGTCCTGACACCACCATCCCCAGGTTGATCAGTTGAATCAGGCTGTAGCTTGAACTCAATGGGTAGGAGCCAGAGTTTGGAATGGAACTAATGATGGTGGAGGTGAGAATCAGAAAGTGTATGGTTGAATGTTCTAGTCTTTCCATATCATAGTACTGGAGAAATCGAGGCAGGAAATCCCACTGAAATCCTTTTGGTTCCCAAGGCAGGAGAATAAAAAAACACAGCAAAGGATAAGCCAAAATTCTGCCCCAGAACTGGCCTGGAACCTGTCTCCCACCCTGGCTGCCCCGCCCTTCAGCTCCAAGAGCAAACCATTTATTTTCTATGATTTTTAAAAATTGGCTCATCTCATAAATGTTCCAGAGTCGGAACAAGCTGTGCCATGGCGAAACAAAAACTGCTGAACAAATAAACAAGGCAGGCTGTGAGGCTGGGGAAAGTGCTAGATGTGGGCCCCCAACCAGGTCCATGGGTTTTGGCAAGTCTGTTGAGTCTGGGCCTCTGTTTCTTCCTCTCTAATCGGAGGGGTGGGAGAATGGGATTTTTGGGGTCCCTTCCAGTTCTGTGATCTAAACAAGTTGCACAGAGAGGGGAAGAATGTAGAGCTGCCAGTTCAGAAGCCTCCTTCCCTTCCACTGCATGGTGAGGCTAAGAGCTGGGAGCGGAGTACATCTCCTCGTAGGCAAACATTGAAACCAGACATCAGCCATTTGCTTGTTCACTCATCTGACACTGAGTATCCAGTGCTGGGTGCTCTGCTGCCCCTTCCGTCAAGGAACACACACGGAATTATGAGGTGGTCTAGCAAAGGAGAGAAGGGACGGACAGTTCCTTGCATACACCGAGCCCTTGCCCACCCCGGGGCCTTTGTTCCTGCTGTTCCACCACCTACATTGTCAGCCTCTCCCTCCTTCTTGTTCTTCAGGGTCAGCTTAAATGTTATTTCCTTGGAAGGCTTTCCCTGACCACCCTGTATAGGGCAGGGCCGCCCCCCACCCCCATCTCTCCCCATCTCTACCGCCACACTCCATTCCCCTCACAGAATTTATACTGTTTGGAATTATGCCTGCCTGCTTATTTAGTCATTTATTTTCCATCTTCTGACTAGAAGATAAGCTACGTGAGAGTAAGAATTCTGTTGGTATTTATCACTTCTGGGCAATTGGCAGCATATACTTGGAGAGTATGTGAATAATTTTTTGGCAGGTGCCAGGGTTTTTACATAGACTACCTCATTTAAGTCTCCTTAACATCCCTAAGAGAGAGACACTGTATTATTATCTTCCTTTTAGGGTGAGGAGACAGAAGCCTGGGGATGAAATATCTTACAGTTGGGAGCCTGGATTTGAACCTGTGTCTAAGTCAGGGCTCTTTCTACTTCGCCATGGTGTGGGGGCAGAGGACGCCAGGCTCTGGGCATGGCGCTTTGGCTCTGTTTTTCTTTTTTACTTTTTACTTTGAAATAATGTTAATTTACTGAAAAACTGCAAGTCTGGCGCATAGAACTCCTTCACTCAGGTTCACCAAATGTTAAACTTTGCTACATTTTAATATTCTCTCTGAGTGTGTACATACCTGTTTATACTTATTTTCTTTTGTTGAACCTTTTGAGAGTAAGTTGCAGACACTATTCCTTTTACCCTTAAATACTTTCCCAAGAACACAGACATTCTATTACATAATCAGGGAATTTAACATAGATATAATAGTTATTTTATTTTATTTTTAGAGACAGGGTCTTGCTTTGTCACCCAGGCAGGAGTGTAGCAGTGTGATCATAGCTCACTGTGGCCTCAAACTCCTCCTGGGCAATCAAGCAATTCTCCTGCCTCAGCCTGCCGAGTAGCTGGAACTGTAGGTGCACACCACCGTGCCTGGCTAATTTAAAAAATTTTTTTTGTGGAGACAGGGTCATGCTTTATTGCCCAGGCTGGTCTCAAACTCCTGGCTTCAAGCAATCCACCCACCTTGACCTCCCAAAGTGCTGGGATTACAAGACTGAACTCTGTTTAAAACTATTTTTTAATATGTACTCAATATTAAACTTTATTGAATTCTCCAAATAATGTCCTTAATAGAGATTTGTTTCTCGCCCAGAATCCAATCCAGATCATACATTCCACATAGTCACTGTGTTTCTTTAATTTTTAATTTAGAAGAGTTCCTCAGCCTTTCTTTGTCTTTCATGATATTGATATTTTTCAAGAGTATAGGCCAGTTGTTTTATAGAATGCCCTTCAATTTGGGCTAGTCTGATGTGTGCTGATAATTAGACCCAGGTTAAGCATTTGCTGGCAGGAATCTCACAGAAGTGATGCCGGGGCCTCAGTACATCATATCAGGAGCCACGTGATGTCTGTTTGTCCCAGGCCTGGTGATGTTAACTTTGATCTCATGTTTAAGGAGATACTTGCCAAGTTTCTCCACTGAAAAGTTATTATTTTTTCCTTTTGTAATTAATAAGTAATTGGGGGAGAGGGTAAATATTTAAGCCTATGACTATCTTGTCCATATCAAACTTGCATCCTTTGATGATTCTTGACTGGATCAATTATTACTATGACAGTTGCAAAATAGAGTTTTTGTTTTGTTTTGTTTTTATAGAGAGAGAGGACCTCACTCTGTTGCTCGGGCTGGAGTGGCGCGATCATAGCTCACTGTAACCTCAAAACTCCTGGGCCCAAATGATCCTCCCGCCTCATCCTCCCAAAGCGCTGGGATTATAAGTGTAAGCCACCACACCTGGCCCTAAATCAAGATCTTGGTTCTGATTTTCAGGCTGGTATCTCTATTCCAAGATGATAGGGTGGAATGGAAGGGTGGATGGAGCAGGAGATCTAATTATGCACAATTTGTTTCTCAAATGGCTATTGAGGTGGAAGGTGACTGCTATTGACTTTCTGACCTTACTTACTAAGTAAAAATCTGGAGAATCAGATGGGATTTTACATGATAAAAGGTATTAATTCCTAATGGAATGATTTCCATTTACCTACCCAGCACTTACTAAATCTCAAACATCACATCAGCCATTTAGCGCACATGATTTTACTCAGTCCTCATAACAACTCTATGAGAGCGTATTGTCTCCAATTTATAGATGAGGAAACTAAGACTCAGAAAGGTTAAGGCACGCGCCTAAAGTCACACAGCTGGGAAGTGTAAGACTCAATTCAAATCAAGATCTGCTGGGTTCCAAAGCGCTTTCACTGTTTTCAGTGGGAAGGAGCTCTGGGTGGCAGTCAGCCTTGATGCACATTCCAGGCAATGCCAGTTTTCAACTATTCATCAGCTTAGAAATGAGGTATGCTCCAAAAGTGGATGTTAAACCTGGGTGTCCGAGTCTTGCAAAAGGCTGGTGAGGTCCTCAGTATAGTTATCTATGGCACCAGCCAGGTGGTCCTTAACTTATAGATAACTCTGCTATGTGAGCAGCGCCCTGGCTGGGAGATCCTCTTGGGTCACCCTGCTGTTGACTCCTTCAGCTCAGGTGGCAGAGCCATCCCCAGACATTGACTCATCAGATCCCCTTGCCCAGTATTGCTACATCTCCTGTGCTTAGAAAGGCAGGAAACTGAACTCTGGTATTTTAGAAAGCCTCTCAACAATAACCTTGATTAAAAGGGGATTTTCCAGTTAACGCTGGAGAATTTCAGTTAACCAAAGAGTTATTGTATTCTAGTTCTCTGAAATGTAGTAATCCACATACAGTGTGTATTTATGGTAATTCTCATTCACCAGAAAATTCAATTAAACAGGATTTCCCCACCATTTAGAATAAGCCACAGAACCACAGAATTACCAAGTTAAAAAAAAAAAGGCCTTGGGGATCATTTAATGGGATCCTTCATTGTACAGATGAGGAAACTGAGGTCCCAGAGAAAGGATATAACTTATTGAAGATTATTTAGCTCATTACTGGTATAACCAGAACTAGAAACTCCCAATCCAAACTGCTTTCTGCCACCTAAGAATTATTACAAAGCAGGAAATCTTTATATCCAGGGTTACCTGCAGGCTGAACTTAGCCTGCAGCAGTATTTTGTTTGGTTTGCACAGTATTTTAGAAGTTGAGAAATTTAATCTAAAATCCAAATTTGGTATTTATTTAAAAAAAAAATTGGAAACTCTGAACACACCGGGCCTGATATCCATAAAGGGGGCCTAAGTAGTAACAACTGCTCTAGACTGGGGACCTGGGGTCTAGACGCCACGTCCTGCCACTCCCTATCATTGTGCACCTGCCTTGCCTCACCCATGTCATGACCTGCCTGGCCCCTGCAGGCATTGGAATTTGGGCTCTCTGCTTCTGGGTGAAGGGCACTCCTCGGTTAATTTAAAAGAGCTCAAGTGAGCCAGATTGAAAAATAGTGGAGACCATGAGGAATCAGAAGCACTTGTGTTAAGTGCCAGGTTGTAGCACCGGGGTCCCAGCTGGCCCTGAGCAAGCTCAGATCAGGGGCTGGGAAAGACCTCTAGGAGCTTCTCATTTGGGTAAAAAATGTGAAAAGTTAAATAACCATAGGAGGCATGTCACTTGGCAAGATTGGAGGAATTGGCAGAGTGAATGGAACAGGCAAGATGTGCTAACGCTGCTCAAAGGGTCTATGTTCAAAGGAAGTCTCTAATGGAGGTGGGTCTTGGTTCAGATGTCAACCCATTTTAGAGGATGGAGAGACTATGGGCAGAGAAAACAGCCACGAAGCTACTGGGAACGTTGGAGCTGAGGGCTAGCAATAGATGACTACAGATGGGAAAAGGAAGGAAGAGTTGGATACCAGAGCAAGACCCCAAGGGAGGCATGCACAGGGTTTGGTGCCTACATGCAGGTAGAAGAGGAAAGGAGAAGAGTCAAAGTTGATGAAAGCTTTGTGCCTGGGTGAGAATGGTCATGTACCAAACAGAAAAGGGAAACCAGCTGGGAAAGCTGCTTTGTGGGAAGATGAGGAACTCATTTTTAGATATGTTGAGTTTGAGATGACAACAGGGCTTAAGTTTAGAGTTGTCCAATGGGCAGCTGAAATTGGGACTGGGAGTCAAGAGGTCAGAGCTGGTAACCTAGAGGAGACAACTGGAACCACCAAAAGCAATGAGGTCCCTCTCCCAGAGGCAGAAGGCCAGGAATAGGGAACTGAGGGCAGCATGATAAACACTGGATAATAGGCACCCTTGAAAAAAAAAAACTCAGGGCTGGGCATGATGGCTCACACGTGTAATCCCAGCACTTTGGGAGGCCAAGGCGGGCAGATCACTTGAGGTCAGGAGTTCGAGACCAGCCTGGCTAACATGGCAAAACCCCGTCTCTACTAAAAATACAAAAATTAGCCGGGAGTGGTTGTGTATGCTTGTAATCCCAGCTACTTGGGAGGCTGAGGGGCAGGAGAATCACTTGAACATGGGAGGTGGAGGCTGCAGTGAGCTGTGCCACTGCTCTTCAGCCTGGGAGACAGAGCAGGACTCCATCTTACAAAAAAAAAAAAAAAAAAAAAAAGCTCAGGAAAGGAAGAGGAGCCAGCACTAGAGAAGGAGCAATCAGAGGGGCAGGAAGAGAACCAAGCTGGAGTAAAACTGCAGACATCTCCCAAGGCAGGCAGAAGGCATTAGGACAGTAACCAGAGGGCACGCCAGAGAAAATAGAAGCTCTAATAAAGACGGAGGAAGGCGAATTTGCAGGTGGTAGGGACGGAGTCCGTGGGGTGGATGAGACTGTGGAACCCTTTTTAACACCTGTGGGAAAAGGGGCTGTGGACTGAAGACCAGGCTGGCCTCCAAGGCTGACTCCCAAGCTAGCTGCTCTGCATTTGCCTAGGGATGGGCTCTTGACTGCTCACTCATTATTCTGGAGATAGGATGGCTCATCTCACATCACTTCCTTATTTTGGACTCAGTTTACCCATCTTTATTTTTTATTTATTTATTTTTTTGAGATAAGTCTCGCTGTGTCACCCAGGCTGGACTGCAGTTGTGCCATCTTGGCTCACTGCAACCTCCATCTCCTGGCTTCAAGCAATTCTCGTGTCTCAGCCTCCTGAGTAGCTGGTATTACAGGCATGTTCCATCACGCCTGGCTAATTTTTGTATTTTTAGTAGAGACGGGGTTTCACCATGTTGGCCAGGCTGTTCTCGAACTCCTGACCTCAAGTGATCCACCCGCCTTGGCCTCCCAAAGTGCTGGGATTACAGGCGTGAGCCACTGTGCCCAGTCATAGTTTACCCATCTTTAGTTTAAAAAATGACCACAGGCCGGGCACGGTGGCTCACGCCTGTAATCCCAGCACTTTGGGAGGCCGAGGTGGGTGGATCACAAAGTCAGGAGATCGAGACCATCCTGGCTAACACAGTGAAACCCCGTTTTTCTACTAAAAATACAAAAATTAGCCAGGCGTGGTGGCGGGCGCTTGTAGTCCCAGCTACTCCAAAGCCTGAGGCAGGAGAATGGCATGGACCCGGGAGGCGGAGCTTGCAGTGAGCCGGGATCAAGCCACTGCCCTCCAGCCTGGGCAACAGAGTGAGACTTCGGTCTCAAAATAAATAAATAAATAAACAAAATAAATATAAATAAATAAATAAATAAAAACGACCACAAAACTTTATTGGATGCTGCCCACCATGAGGGGCAACAGACAAGTGTGAGTTACTCAAAAAAAGTAAACTAGGCCTTCTCCTTTGACAGGGAGGTGCATTTGAAAGGTGCCTCCCTGTGCACTGACTCACTTAGTCTTGTGAGGGAAGCTTTATTACAATTCCCCATTGCACAGATGAAGTTGGGGCTCAGGGAGGCCAAGGGAATGAAACTACTAAGTATGTAATTGGAACCCAAGTCTCCTGGAATCCAAATGCAGTGTCCTTTCGCTACCAGATGCCAGCAGGACCCAGGTAATGAACTAGGCCAGAGACCTGAAGAGCAGGCCAGCTACCAATGTGACCTCTATCTGCCCACTTGGGGGTGAGATCCTTACCCATACAAAGACAGTTTTAAAATTGATTAAATGTAATGAGGCCGGGGCTGGGGCAGGCTGGCTCACGCCTGTAATCCCAGCACTTTGGGAGGCTGAGGAGGGCGGATAGCTTGAGGTCAGGAGTTTTGAGACCAGCCTGGCCAATATGGTGAAATCCCATCTGTACCAAAAATGTAAAAATTAGCTGGGTGTGTTGGCGCAGGCCTGTAGTCCCAGCCACTCGGGAGGCTGAGGCAGGAGAATCGCTTGAACCCGGGAGGCGGAGGTTGCAGTGAGCGGAGATTGCGCCACTGCACTCCAGACTGGACGACAGAGCAAGACTCTGTCTCAAAAAACAACAAACAAACAAACAAAAGTAAAGAGGCCGATAGAGGGAGAGGAGACCGAGACGTAGGGAGCAGTGAGTCGGTTTGGGATGAGACTGGCAGGAGCAGGCAGATACAGTATTCGACCTCGGAGCTGGGCTTTTAGCCTGGGGTCCTGGCGCCCCTAGAGTGTCAGGAGGTGAGGGCCTGAAGCTACAGGCAGAATCCCAGTGTCTGTGTGGGCCGTGGGCTTGCTCTGGACACTCTGGGGACAGGATGCAAGGCCGTCATCAGATTCTCAAAGGGGCCCGTGTCCAGAAAAAAAACGTGTTAAACCTCCGATATGGAAGCATCTGCAGTCCCCTGCCCGGACCGGGGACACCATGGTGCAATGTATCCCTGTCCCCGTCACTTTTTCTAAATCTTTGCCTAGAAATCCCTCGTGCTGGACTCTTTCACCCTGCACGGGGGAGAAGCCCTCCTCCCGGGAGCCTGTTTGGGGGGCAGGCCTGGCCGAGTGGCTCCGTGAAGACGCAGGCGCGGCCGGAGGGCGCGGGGCTCGGGCAGGATCGCGCCGCCGGGCCGGGAGGGGGCTGCGGGCGCGCGGCGGATGTCACGGCTTACCTCAGAGCCCAAATTAGAAGGCTGAAAAAATCACAGCAGGAAATAATGTGCTGCCTAAAATAGAAGCATCAACTGGGAGAGAGGCCGGGGAGTAGGTGGCATCTGAGGCTCCCGCCGCGTCCTCCCCAGCGGCTGCCTGACGCTGCATCGGAGGCGCGTGGGTGGCGCCCGGCCAGAGGGGCCCAGAGGCCGGGGCGGCCCGGGGCGGGAGGAGGCGAGAGCAGGGCACCCTCCCTCCGCCCCCTCCCCCCTCCCCACACCCCTTCCCTCTTCCTCTCTTTCCCTCCCCTACGGCCCCCACCTCCCCCCACCCCGACCCGCTCCCCCGACACCTGGGCTGGTCCTCCCGGATCCACTCCTCTCCCACACTCCCTCACCTCCCCCCTCCCTCCCCCTGCCCACGCCCCACATACCTGGGCTCCTGCCCCTTCCACCCCTCTCTGCTCCCTCCCTGCCCCCTTCCCTTCCTCCCCTCCCCTTTATCTCACCTTCACCCCCTTTCCTCCTACACCCCTTCCGTGTCCCCACCCCCTGCCCTCAGTCCTCCTTCCTCCTCTTCCCCACATCCCACCTCTCCTTTCCCCCTCCTTGTAGGCCCTCTTTCTCCTCAGCCCCCCTCCCCCCGCCTTTAGTCTCCTACCTCCCCTACAGCCTCCTGCCCCCGCCTCCTCACAGCCCCCTACTTACCCTACTGCCTCCCTCCTGGGGCCCTTTCCTCCCCAAGGGCCCCTCTGTTTTCTCCCATTCCAGCCCCTGACCAGGCCCTGCTCCTCTGCTGGGGTCGGCCCCGCACAGTAAGCTGCCTGGGAGCCCTCATTGCCTTCCTGGGCAACCCGGCCAAAGGCCCCCCGAGCAGCTGCAGCCCTGGAGGTCAGCCTCACCCTGGCAGACCGCAGGGGCCCCTCCTCACCGCCGACCTCTGCACCTTCACCCGTTTGCCTGGTGTCTGAGGAAGGGCCCGCAGGAAGAGCATTCCTTTCCCAGGGTCTTCCTCAGGAGGGATGAGAGGAAGCAAAAGCTTGGTCTGCAAACGGGCTGGTCCTCCCGACGGCCACATCCGCAGGAATGACCCTCAGAGGGGCTCCCCAACTGGCTGGGAGATTCGTCCAGCTGGGCGCTCTGCTACACAGCCCCGTCAAGGGCAAACAGGCATGTACTTAAATGATAAGGGGCGGCCCTTACAGAGCGTGTATATGTGCATATTAGCTCCTTCAAGCCTCACAGCTCCGTAAGCTAGGCACTGTTATTATCCCCATATTATAGATGACAAAACTGAGACACAAAAGATGAATCAGCTTGGCAGTGTTCACAGAGCCAGCGTGTGGAAAAGCCAGAATCCAGACCCAGACCCGAACTGCAGCGTCCCGGCTCTTACCCCTAACCAGCCAGTGCCTCTCAGCTTAGTGCTCTTCCACCCGGCTTTTCTTTCTAAAAAGTGAGTTTCGTCTTTGTTGTTTGTTTGTTTTTGTTTTTTTCTGAAAGTAAGCATGAAGCATTACAGGTGCTTGGAGATTTTCAGTTTTTAAAAATCTGATATTTTTACTTCTCTGGGTGTTTCCCCTGCCAGCTGTTGCTCTCCTGAAAACCGTCTCGCTCATTTTTGCCGGTTCCCAGTGCTGTGCGTCCTCATCGCATTGGTTCGTGCTCCAGGGCCCTGCCCACGCACATATGTGCTGCACTCCTTCCCTCCTGCCTCCTGCCTCTGTGTTGCCCTGGGGCTAACAGCTTATGACTTGCCAAACAGAATCATAAGGAGAGGTGTGTGGCTGATGTGGCATCACGCAGGCTTGGAAAGGCCACTTGTTATTGGGATAAGCAGTAGGAAATAGTGGCTGAGATTGTGAGTAGGGGAGTAGAGGCCTCCACAGACTAAAAGAAATGTCAGAATAAAATAATAATATAGCTAATATTCATGAATACTTACTAAATGCAAGGCTTTGTGCTAAGTATTTTCCAGGAATTATTTCACTTAAGTGACATAATAACCCTATGACATTGATATCATCAGCATTTGACAGAAAACTCAGGGTCATGTAAGGTTTAGAGCTGAGATTCTGATGCACTTAACCAGCATGTTCACTGCAAACGAAAATTGGTGTGCTGGTTTCTGTGTTTGTCTCCAAAATGGAAATATCTTTGTCATTTGGCAAACTATAAAAGTAATAGGTGTTCATTGTGAAAGATGAAAACAACACAGAAGTATATATAGTAAAATATAGAAGTCTTTCTCTGATAAGCCCCCTCTTCATAGACTTTAATACATATGTACATTTTAAGATACCTGATATCATACCATCATATTCTTCAGTGGATATCCTGACATGGCAGGGCACACCTGATGATTATTTCCAGAATTCTAGCGATGGAATTGGTGGGTCAGAAGGTATAAACATTTTGGTCACATGTTGAAATGGAGAAGTTATTGTTCTATTTAAAGCCATCATATACTGTTGCCCAGGTTGGACCGCAGTGGCGTGATCTTGACTCACTGCAACCTCCCCGTCCTGGGTTCAAGCAATTCTCCTGCCTCAGCCTCCCGAGTAGCTGGGATTACAGGCACATGTCACCTAATTTTTGTATTTTTAATAGAGACAGGGTTTCACCATGTTGGCCAGGATGGTCTCAAACTCCTGATCTCAAGCGATCTGCCCACCTTGGCCTCCCAAAGTGCTGGGATTACAGGCGTGAGCCACTGTACTCAGCTTAATTAGTACAGTCTTAAGGCAATTTGTTAACATGTACCAAGAGACTTTAAAATGTTCCCACCTTTTACTTCATAGCAATTCCATTTATGGAAGTCTCTCTACCCCAGGGAAATAAATAAATGAAAACAGCAATATTTAGCATTATGATAGCCATATTTGGGGCATCGCTTAAATGTCCTCCAATAAGGAAATGGTTAAGTAAGTCATGAAAAAAATTAAGAACATTTCCTTGCTGGAATATTATATAGTGATTAAAATGATGGTTACAAAGTGCAAAAATGTGGTGGAAGTTCTTAGAACATAAAGTCAAATTTAAAAAGTAATATACAAAATTATATATATTGTATGATTACAGCTGTGTGAACAGAATTTGTAAAGGAATAGTAGCAAAATGATATCAATGGTTATGTTAGTATATTGAGATTAATGTGGTTTTTCTTTTTTTTTTTTTTTTTTCTGAGACAGAGTCTTGCTCTGTCACCCAGACTGGAGTGCATTGGTGCAATATCAGCTCACTGCAACCTCCACCTCCTGGGTTTAAGAGATTCAGCTGCCTCAGCCTCCTGAGTAGCTTGGACTACAGGTGCATGCCACCACGCCCAGCTAATTTTTGTATTTTTAGTAGAGATGGGGTTTCACCATGTTGGCCAGTCTGGTCTTGAACTCCTGACCTCAGGTGATCCGCCTGCCTTGGCCTCCCAAAGTGCTGGGATTACAGGCATGAGCCATAGCACCCGGCTGTTTTTCTTTTTTATTCTCCAATGTGGTTTGTTTATTTGTTTACTTGTTTGTTTATTTATTTATTTATTTATTTTTATTTTTGGGACAGAGTCTCACTCTGTCGCCCAGGCTGGAGTGCAGTGGTGCGATCTCGGCTCACTGCAACCTCCGCCTTCCAGGTTCAAGTGATTCTCCTGCCTCAGCCTCCCGAGTAGCTGGGATTACAGGCACCCGCAACCACACCCAGCTAATTTTTTGTATCTTTAGTAGAGACAGGAGTTCACCATCTTGGCCAGGCTGGTCTCGAACTCCTGACCTCATGATCTGCCCACTCGGCCTCCCAAAGTGCTGGGATTACAGGTGTGAGCCACCATACCCGGCCTCTAATGTGGTTTATTTTTGTAGTAAAAATTATATTTACTTAAGGACTAGAAAACAGATGGAAATTATCAGAAGACTCTGCTTCATTTTTCCTCTCTGGATTTGAGTTTCTACTCCTAAGAAACGAAGCACTGAGCCTGGAATTAGATAACTTCGAAGTTATCCCAGTTTTGATATTGCAAATTTTCGTATATAATCCGGTGGCTCTGCTGCTGATTCAAAGCCAAAATTCAGTCTTCACATTGAAAACAGATCAGACCGGAACCTGTTCTGTGACCATTAGCTTAGGCTATTCCTACATATGTCAAAGTAGCCACATTAATTGGAAGAAAAAGGAAACAATGTTGTCTGAATCTGTGTAGATGCACCTTTAGGCTTGATGTTTCCAGTGGGAAGTAGAGGGTACCAGGCTTGGGAGTCCTGGGACCAGATGTTTACAGCAGTGATTTCTTGACCCATCCCACTATGAGGGGTTGTGTCCCTCATTCCCTCCTCTATCAGCCCGGATACTGATGGTGTGTGAGGCTCTCCCATGGCCATGCCTTGCTCCCTCTGCAGTGACAAGGCATGGTTGGAGACTGTGTTTCCTTTGCTGGCTGGAGAGCTCTTTGAAGGCAAGGACTGGGTTTTTATTCCAGTACCTGAACAGTGAATGAATGAATGAATGAATGAGTGAGTGTGAGCATAAAGAAAGCCTGTTACATGGGAGACTCAGTAGGATTTCACTGAACCTGTGAAGTAAGTAAGGCTAGCAATCAGAAGCATGTTGTGAGGTCACTGGTCTGTAGGTGTGTGTGTGTGTGTGTGTGTGTATGTGTGTGTTTGTGTGTGCAGGGAAGGGGCAAGGCTGGAAGAACGCCGCTGTGCTGGCACAGCCTTCGTCAGAGCCCTGAAAGGGGCTGAGTGGGCTCTGACTCAGCTCTATGACTCATTCACTGTATTGCTGTCTCCATCCTCTGGGCACATCCTCTGGACCATTTCTGCTCAGCCTCAAGTGGAGGAGGTGAGATTTGGGCCGGTACCTCCGGATGACTCACCTGGCTAAGCTGGAAGGAAGGGGCCGAAGCCCCACCATCCTGCACCCCCTTGTCACTACCCCTGTCTCCCTAGGGGTTCTCGTGCAGACACAGACTTCACAAGTAGGTTATGGCTGCTCCAGTAATGAATGACGCTCTCCATCCCAACCCAAAGCATTACCCCCCAATCACGCTTCCCGGCTCAAATGCCACAGTTTCCCCAGTCCCCTCACATGGTTGTCCCCTGTGCTTCTTGTGGGCCTCTGAGGTCAGCTGATAAGGAAGTTTACAAGGCTCTCCCAGACCATTGGTCATTTTATTCTTCTTCATCTCTTACAAACCTTTTTCAGTTTACAAAATAGTTTTACATCCCCTTTCTCATTTGATTCTCTCCCAGACCCTAGGAAGCCTGGTAGGAAGGCGAATATCCCCATTCTTCAGGGATGGACGTTGGAGCTCCACTAATCCTTTCACTAGTAAAGGAAAGGAAGTGAAGGGCATTGAGGGGACACGGAATGTTGGGAAGGGCAGGCTGGGCAGGGACAGTGGAACAGTGGGCTGGGGGCATTTAGTGGGACAGTGGGCTGGAGAATAGGGACAGCACTGGCCAGTTGGTGACATGACAAGAAATATGTCTGTATGAGAGCAGAAGACAGATAAGGTCTTTTGACTTTATCCCAAGACCAAGAGGAAGCCATGGAAGGGTCTTATGCAGTGGAACGCCATGGTCAGACTGGATTTTAGAAACCCACCCCTGGGTGTGATGTGGGCAGGGAACTGGGGCAGGGCAAGCTGGGGGCTGCCTCTGTTATTCAGAGAAGAGCTGGCAGAGTCCGCCTGTGGGCAGTGGTAGAGGGGGTGGGACAGGGACAGAAAGACTCCTGGGAGGGTGTCCAGTAGGCACATGAAAATAGGGGTCTGAGGCTGTTTCCCCTGAAGAAGTGGTGTATATTTATTCTACTGTAAAGGAGGACGGAGTGCTAAGTGGGTTGCCATCCACTTATAGATGTGACTGGAGCCAGGCAGTGGGTGAGATGACTCAGGGAAAAGGGAGGGTCACCAGGGATGCCAACCCTTAAGAGCCGAGCAAAGGCCAGTGCAGGCCCTGCCACAACACCCCGCGGGAAGGGCATTTGTAATGTGAAAGCACTTCGCCACCATGACCTCCTTTGATGCGGACAAGGCCCTGTGAAGGTGACAGGTGACTCACCTCACAGACACTCAAGGGTGAAATCTAAGGGGACTGCTGGCTTTTCCCTCTGCCGCGTTCCCTTTCCTCTTTCCACCCATGCTGGGCTGCTGGGGTCACCACCTGGCACCACCTGGAGCAGGAAGCGTCCTCTTGCGAGAGTGCCCAGAACCTCCAGTGGGGTGTGGCTGTGGGCTGTGGGAAGGGGCTGGGTCCCCCGAGCCCTTTTGGCCCTGGAGGGTCTGGAGGGTTTCCAGATAAAATATGAGATGTCCAGTTAAACTTGAATTTCAGATAAATTACAAATAATGTTTGGTATAAGTATATCTCAAATATTCCATGGGACATATTTATATTTTAAAAGTACTTGATGCTTATCTGAAATTCACATCTAAGTGGCATGTCTGTCTTGTATTTTTATTTGCTAAATTTGGCAACCCACAAGGGGTGCCTCACTACTCCTGCACACCAGGGCCTTGGGGATTTTCCTTTGTCTGAGACCACAGTGAGAAACAGCCTCTTACCCCACACTTGCCCTGGGTCCTTGTGTGGGGCTCAGGGTTGTGTGGGGAGACAAGCTCTGTCCCTGATGGCCTTCCAGCTTCTGTCTCAGCCCAGCAGACGTCTAACCTGAGTTTCTATGGCCTTCCACATGCCAATGGCTCCCCACCTGGACAGGTGAATAGCTGCTGCCTCTGATCATGTGACCCAAGAATGGAGGGGACCAGGGCTCCCCTTCTCTAGCCAGCAGCATCTGCCAGGGTGTCATGTCCAGGCCCTTTAGATAGCCCAGGAGCCTGCAGCCCTCAGTCAGCAAGAGCTTACCCAGGGCAGCCTGGGCTAAGGGGTATGGAGGAAAAGGCACCTGCTCTGCCTTGGGTCTAGGCAACGAAGGTGTGGATATTTGTTGTTTGTTCAGTGGCCTACTGTTAGGAAACAGTAGCCCCACAGCTTTGCAGAGCCTGACAAAGGCAAGAAACTGTCACATGTCTGCCCTCATTTGTAGTTTTTTCTTGTTGTTGCTGTTGTTTTGAGAAGGAGTCTCACTCTGTCACCCAGGCTGGAGTGCAGTGGCATGATCTCAGCTCACTGCAACCTCCACTTCCTGGGTTCAAATGATTCTCCTGCCTCAGCCTCCCAAATAGCTGGGATTACAGGTGTGCACCACCATGCCCGGCTAATTTTTGTATTTTTAGTAGAGATAGGGCTTCACCATGTTGGCCAGGCTGGTCTTGAACTCCTGGTCTCAAGTGATCTACCCACCTCAGCCTCTCAAAGTGCTGGGATTACAGGTCTGAGCCACCGTGCCCAGCTAATTTTTGTTTTATTATTATTATTATTATTATTTTGGAGATGGAGTCTCACTCTGTTGCCCAGACTGGAGTGCAGTGGCATGATCTTAGCCCCCTTCAACCTCTGCATCCCAGGTTCAAGTGATTCTCCTGCCTCAGCCTCCCAAGTAGCTGGGATTACAGGTGTCCGCCACCACGCCTGGCTAATTTTTGTATTTTGGTAGAGGCAGGGTTTCACCCTGTTGACCAGGCTGGTCTTGAACTCCTGACCTCAAGTGATCTGCCCGCCTCTGCCTCCCAAAGTGCTGAGATTACAGTTGTGAGCCACCACGTCCGGCCATCTGCCCTTATTTAATCCTCACCATATTGTTGTCAGGTGAACAGGGATGGCGTTTTCAGCTGTTTCCTACCCCCTTTATGATGAGTGAACTGAGGCTGAGAGAGGTGAAGCTTTGCTCGTAGTCACATATCCTAACCCATGTGAACGTTGGGGCTTCAACCCTAGCTCAGAGAAAAGTGATCAAGGATGCTGAACTCCAAGGAGCCCGGGAGTTGTGCTCCAGATGAAGTTCCTCCACTTTCACAGTAGGGGGCGAGCCTGAAGCTTTGCTTGAAGAACTGGGATGAAAAGTCCACAGTCCTGCCCTGGCCACAGGCAAAAGACAAGGCTGGCAGCTCCCACTGTGGCGCTGGGAGAGCTTCCTCTCTCTACTCCGGCCCACACATGGAGTGGGCTGTGGAGTCCTGATGAGAACCTGCTGGGGCAGCAGGTCAGGGCGCTGCACATACTCTGGGTGGGGAGGAAACCTGCAATAACCGAGAAGGCGGCTCCAGAAGCTCAGGGACCTCTCAGTTCCCCGGAGGGAACCAAGGCTTTAGTGCTGGGCACAGAGTGGGTCAGCCACACCAGAGTCTCTGTGAATGTTAAGCCAGACTTTGGAGAAGGGAGACACAGAGGTGGGTGTGGCAGAGACTGCAGATGTAAAGAGTTCTATGTGTTTATTCCACAAATATTTTCTGAGCATCCACTGTGTGCCAGACACTGTTGTAGACATCAGGGATACAGCAGTGAATAAAGCAAATATGTGCATACAGGTGTCTCATAGACAACTCGCTTGTGAGTCAGCTCATTTGTGAGTTGATTCTTTTGACCCCAGGCAATGTAATGCAAAATTCAGCCCCCTTAGCAGCTTCCAGAAAACGGTTTTTCCCCACCAAACATGGCAGGGCAGAGGGTTTTACTGAAGATTTACTGGGTCATAATGAGAGGCTGCAGTTGCTTCTCTTGTGCCACCCCCTCTGTGAATGTCAGGGTACATGACCCTTCTCCCAGCTCTCCTGACATGCAGCCAAGCTGGGGGCTCACCGCCCTCCCTCCACCTCCTGCACCCAGGCTCCCTGCCTGGCTAGCCTTTCTCCAGCAGTTTTCTCACAGACATTTAGTCTTGGGAGGGGAGGCTTTTGTCCCATTCCTGTGTCACTGTTTGGCCCTGAAGGACACAGCCTCTTTCCCCAGGGCCCCTCCTTTCTGAAATGGGGATGTTGTCCCTATGCCATTCCTACTTCTCAGAATTATTCCAGGGTGAGATGAGCTCATATCTGAGAAGGGTTACACTCAGAACTCTCTAGCACCTCGGGTCATGGCAACTGGAGACAGCATCTTGCTCTGAACCAGGCCCCAGCGTCCTACAGATGGGTGACCTGGTGTCATTATGGGAGTAAATATTGAGCTGCTCTCCTTTTATTTTGGATTGGGTATAATTTAGTACCCTGTTCTCACTCTTTTATTAATAAAATAAAACAATAAACACATACTACCATCAAAAGAACACTCACAGCCTGTGTTTATGTGTTTATGTTGTGTCTGTGTCTAAGAAGCTGCAACTGCTATGTCAATTTTTAACAAAATGAGTTTTCACTCAGTGCTGGGGGGTATGATAATTCAAAACAAAAAGGGAGGGCAGATTCTTCCACTGTGTCTTTTAGTTTTTGCTTTTTTACTCTTTTCCTTTTTCTTTCTTTTTTTTTTTTCTGTTAAAACAGAGACATTGGCCTAAGGCCTAGGCACAGAAACTAAGAGTGCCTGTGTTCACTCGGGAAAGATTCCACAGGGGAATCAGGCCCATGCCCCTCCCGTCTCCTGTTCCCAGGGGCTTTGTTTCCTGCTCTCCTCTGCCCTTTCTGAAAAGGACCCCACAGGTGATCTGAACCCCCTGAATATGGTGCCTGGGGAGAGGAATGTGGGCATGAGGAAAGTAAGGAATGAGGAGGAGAGGAGAAATAGAACAATAAGAGAGAATAATCAGCATAAACTTTGTGATCTCAGGGCCAGGGATGAGAGAAACAATGGTCATTTATACATTTTAATCATGAGTTCAGTCTTGTGGCTGAAAGTAACAGAAACAAAATTCTAATTAGCTTGAGCCCCAAAGATGAAGGTGTTGGCTTACATAAACTACTGTGGAGACAGGGATAAAACAAATGGCTTCAAGGAGTGGACATCCTTGGGACGTCCCCTCCCCTCAGGATGTTGATTTATCCACCTGCTCTCAAGGCTGTGAGGCTCTGTGTGCCCATCCTCACAGCCCCATGGCCAGAGAGGAAAGCACTCTTTCACACCAGCTCCGGCTAGAGGACAGCAAACAGCAGCATACCAGTGTGCAGTCGTCACAGTTCAAAAATGTTACACTTTGTTCTTTTCCAGTACTGATGAAGGAATGGAAAATGGAGACCCTAATGCTGTGATACACTATTGGAGGGAACATAAATTGTCCCAGTCCCTTTGGAGGGAAATTTGGCAGTATCTATTATAATTTGAAATGTGGTTACCATGGATCTCATGATGCCATGTCTCAAAATCCAGACCAGTAACTCTCATGTATGTGCACAAGGAAACACAGGCCAGGGTGTTATGTGAAGAATTATTTGTAATGCAAAATTAGGAATAACATAAGTGTCCATCTTTAAACCATGATATATTTTATACTCTGAAAACCTGGAAACTATTAAAAAGAATGAAGTATGTACTGACATAAACCCCTAAGACATCTTGGTAAATGAAAAATGTAATTTGCAGTATATAGATACAATATGGTATCACTCAAGCATAAACCAAAACCAAAACAAAACCTTGAAATAATAATATATATTTATATATGTTTATAACATATTTCTAAATATATGAAAATGCATAGAAAAGGTCTAGATTCACTAAATTACCTTGGTTATCTCTGGTGAAGCTAAGATTAGGTGTTGAGATTGAAGGAGACTGTCAGGTTTAAACTTTTTCAGTGATAACGTATTCAGGTATAATTTATGTATTTAAAATTAATTTTAAAACTTTTAAAGGAAAAAGCTATGGAAGGAAAGGCATTCTGATTTGTTCAACCCAGACCATATGACTCTTCCTAGACCAATCACTGTGGCCAAGGGGCTCCTAGGGTTCAGTGACTGGCCCAACCTGGGTTTCACACTCATTCCTGTGAACACTGGAGCAATACACAATAATTGGCACAATAATTGGCAGCTCCTTCCATAATTACAGCTGAATTGGTGAAGGAGGATTTCCCCCAAAGAAGGGAGGTGCTGTTCTGGGCAGACAAAACAATAAGTCTTCTCGATAGTGGGCTTTATCATCTTCATGGGTTTAAGTATGTGTCATCCAAGGCTGAAATACTTCGTTCAATACAGTTCTGTTACAATATATAGGATAAAAATTTGTTCTGCGCCAGGTGCGATGGCTCATGCTTGCAATCCCAGCAATTTGGGAGGCTGAGGTGGGTGGATCATTTAAGGCCAGGAGTTTGAGACCAGCCTAGCCAACATGGCGAACCCCATCTCTACTAAAAAATACAAAAAAATTAGCTGTGTGTGGTGGCGCATGGCTATAATCCCAGCTACTTGGGTGGCTGAGGCACGAAAATCACTTGAACCTGGGAAGTAGAGGTTGCAGTGAGCTGAGATTGCACCACTGTACTCCAGCCTAGGTGACAGAGTGAGACTCTACCTCAAAGAAAAAAAAAAAAAGAATTTGTTCTGCTCATTGCTATATCCCTAGAACCCAGGAAAGTTCTGGGTATATAGTAGATGCTCAGTGTAATAGACACTAGTCAAATGGCAACAGCACTACTATAGCCTATGATTTTTTTGTTTTTGTTTTTGTTTTTGTTTTTTGAGATGGAGTCTCGCTCTGTTGCCCAGGCTGGAGTGCGATGGCACAATCTCAGCTCACTGCCACCTCAGCTTCCTGGGTTCAAGTGATTCTCCTGCCTCAGCCTCCCGAGTAGCTGGGATTACAGGCATGCCCCACCATGCCTGGCTAATTTTTGTATTTTTAGTAGAGACAAGGTTTCGCCATGTTGGCCAGGCTGGTCTGGAACTCCTGACCTCAGGTGATCTGCCTGCCTCTGCCTCCCAAAGTGCTAGGACTACAGGCGTGAGCCACCGCACCCGGCTGCCTATGGAAATGCCTTATTCTGGAAACTATGACTATGAAGAGAACTATGACTCCTCCCTCAATGCTCTCAGCAGAGGCAGAGGGGAGAAAGGAAGAGGAAGTCAGACTGACAGCTCCGTTTTCCTCCCAAGGCCAATGTTCAAGTCAGATCAGGGAGTGACCATGACGCACGCCTGGGACAGCTTGACAATGATCTGGCCATGGCATGGGGTTGGGCAGGAGGAGTTGGCCCAGTTACTTTTGATTAAGTGGGGCTTCCTTCTGTGTGTTACAGCCTCATAGGTCGCTGTGGGGATGGGGCCACGACGGAAGAGAAGGTGGTAAAAAGGGCGAGTTGCCTAAGGTGAGTGACCCTTGGGTGGGTCTCCTAACTCATCTGAATCCTTTCCTCTCTGCAAAGTGAGGATATTATTATTATTATTATCATTATTATTATTTTGAGACAGAGTCTTGCTCTGTTGCACAGGCTGGAGTGCAGTGGCATGATCTCAGCTCACTGCAGCCTCTGCTTCCTGGGTTCAAGCAATTCTCCTGCCTCAGCCTCCTGAGTAGCTGGGAGGCGTATGCCACCATGCCTGGCTAATTTTTGTATTTTTAATAGAGATGTGGTTTTGCCATGTTGTCCAGGCTGGTCTCGAACTCCTGAACTCAGGTGATCTGCCTACGGCCTCCCAAAGTGGAGGATATTATTTTTAAAAAAATCTATTCCCCAGTGACCATGTCTCTCTACTATCCATTATGTCGTTGTTGTGGAAGCATCAGTTGAAACCCAGAGAGAGCTAATTTTTCTAAGGGAGCCCACCGTAGAGAAGGAAGAGCAGAATCCCAAGGCCTGAGCATTGGGGGTTCCCACAGCAGGGAAGGAAGGGCTTGTAAAGGGCACAGTAAAGGAAGAAGGGGTGACCCGAGGGGAAGAACAACAGGGAACTTGAGGCCAGGAAGGCCAAGGATGCAGAGGGTTCCAGGAAGTGGGCACTGGCAGTGTTAACACAAGTGCTATTGGATGGAGGCCTCTGGGGCTCTGGAAAGAGAATGGTTCCAGAAAACAGATGAGGCTGGAAGCCAGACTGAAAAGTGCAAAGGGGGAAACAGCTTCCAGTTCTCCCTTGAGAAATGAGAGGAGGCATTTCCCCCATGCTTGACTTCCCCGACTGTATCTAGCCTGCTGAGGTGAGGCCTGGGGAGACTAACTGGGAATCCCTACAGTCTCTCATCCTCCTCCCCTGTACTGGCCTCTGCCTGGGGGAAAGCTGGTCTGCCCCAGTTCTCCAGGCAGAGTGAGCTCAGTCATCAACCCCAGGCCTGGCCCCAGCCCTTGCTACCCCTCTCCAAGGGAATGGATTCTGCTGGGTCGTGTACCCACCCCATCCCCCTACTCCTTCCAATGGGCTGAGGTCCTACCTCAAAGGGCCTGACCAGCTGAAACCATTTTTCCCAAGCTTGGCCTTTCCAGGGAACTACATGAGCTTCCTTTAGCCAGGCCTGTACCTGCCCAGGGGCCTCTGGGTCTTGGACCATGCAATTATCCTCCCTGGGTGTCTCGCCTGCCATACAGATGCCCTCAGCCTCTGTGCCTCCTCTGCTATTGAGTTCTCAGAATCCCTTTCATCTGAGCACATTTCCTTTGTAACAGAAGGGGAGAAACAGAATGGTCTTAAGACAGCGCAAACATCAAAACATTATGCTTGTGTATATGAATTTCTACATGTTTTATATTTTGGGGTTGAGACTACTATAGATACACAATTGTGCATGTGTGTGTGTGAGTGTGTGTGTGTGTATCCTAATCATCAAATCACAAGCGTTTTCCCAGATCATAAAAAAACTGGTGAAGGCATTTTAAGGACAAGAGAGACCAGTGTAGAAACCAGTGCATATGTGTAGGCCAAGAAGAAGGTATGAGTGGACAGGAAAAGCTCAAAGGTACTAGAGGGTGACAGAGTTCAGCCAAAAGTCCAAGTGGGGGCAGCGCCTGAATGAAGGGTGTAGGGGCCCATTAGGGCTGGAGGTATCCTTGGCAGGCAGACAGGCTGACCCCTGCTTTTACTTTCACTTCCATACCAGTTCCAGTGACCCCTGGAGACCAGGCTACATTCTTCAAGTTCGATGGATTTTCTGGTTGGAGAAGCTTGAGAATTTTAATTGCTGCAACCAAACCAATTTAGTTGCTGAACCTGGGGCTGGGTTTGGCTTAGCCGAGTCTTCTATAAAGAACAAAGGGGAATGAGAGGTGTGCACGCCTGGTAGTGACTAGAAACCCAAACCAGACAGCCCCTGGACTGAGCAGATTCAGGTTACATTCTTAGACACCTCTCCTGTTCTCTCCAAACCCTGACCCCTTACTAGCCCTCTCGCTGTCCCACTTCACTCCCACAGCTGAGACCCTGCGCCAATATCCATCTCCGCCCTTTGCTGTGCTCATGACCCAGCATTTGATGAGTGTCATTCATTCATTCAACAAACATTGAGCCTCTACATCATTCATTCAACAAACATTGAGGCTCTACAGTGTGCCAGAACTATGCCTCGCTGGTGTTAAAGGCATATCCTTGGCCTTGAGAAACTTCCATCAGCCCAGCACCCAGCTCAAGGGAGCCCAGAGACCACCTAAACTTTTGTCTGGATAATAGATCCCTCTGTGAACTGATGACAGTTTTGCACACCTCTGCAGAAAAATATACACATGCACAATTGTATATTTGCATACACTTGAGGGGTGGCAGCAATCCCCTGAAGCCCATCGATGATTTAAGGATCTGTGTACCCCAAGTTACAAACACTTGATTTCATTTAACCCTCTCATATTACAGATAAGGAAACTCAGGTCTACAGAGGGAAATGACTTGTCGAAGGTCATGCTGTGGGTGAGGAGCTGAGCTAGTCCTAGAAGCCAGGACCCCTGGCTCCCCAGATGCTGCTCCACCAGGCCTCCCTGTGAGGGGCTGAGCTAGCCCTAGAAGCCAGGACCCCTGGCTCCCCAGACGCTGCTCCACCAGGCCTCCCTGCACCCTTGTCATCTGGGAAAACCTGGCGAGGGAGCTTGTGTGCCCAGGGCCAGTTTCCTTGTCAGCTGCCAAGCCTAGGACTGCCAAGCCTAGTCCCTTCTCTACCACTCCCTGGTTTCTCCGGGACAGGGGACAGTGGTCAGGAGCTTTCTGAACACTTGCTGTGACCTTGACCATTCCAACCAGTTCCCCCCAGACATCAAGGGAAATGTTCTAGAGGAAACAGGATGTGTTTTCCTGCAAAATCATTTGTCTCATAAGGTGATTTGCATACTGGTGGGGACACAAATGTCATTCCCTGCCCATTTCCTCCCTAGAGAAAAGGGTTTCCATCACAGCTTTCTCCTCAAGAGAGAAGGCAGCTGTATGGGCCCGGTCCCAGCCCTGAGGATGCCTTCCTGACAGTGGGGAGGAGGGACGGGATGTTAGTTAGGGTCTCCCCAGAAGTGGTTGGTAAGCAGGCTCCTTTCTTGACCCCTCCCCAAGTCTCAGGGTTTGGCTGGAAGCTCCCCAGCTCCAGCTCTGACAAACAACCCGCTCCTGCAAACCAGGGATCTAGGCAGCCCACCTTGCTCTTAAACTTCCTTGGGGTTAAATTACAGAAGATTCAGCTGCTAGAAGAGATAGTTGAGGTGATGGTAGATGACAAATAACAACAAATACTTAGTGCTTACTGTGTGCCAGACATTGCTGTAAGCATGTTACATGCACTGTAAATTAATTTAATCCTTACAGCAACCCAGAGAGATTGGTTCTATTATTTTTCCCACCGTTTGCAGGAGGAATCAGGGTTCAGAGAGGTTAAGTAACTTGCCCAAGGTCACACAGCTGAACAGCTGATAGTTGCACAGACAGGGTTTGAACTCAGCCGATCTGGCTCCAAAGTCTGGGAATCTAAATACTGTGTTATGAGAGGAAGCACTGGAAGGTTCGTGATCTGTTGTAACCCTTGAAGACTGCACAGTACTCAGAAATATTGGCATGCCATTTAAGGCCCCTTAGGATCTGGTCCTAGCTACGCTGCTATTCCATCCTGCCTCCTGCTATGATCCACTTACTGAAACAGGCCATAAACATGCCCCAGCTGGTCTGCACAGTGTTTCCTCTGCCCAGGTAGGACTTGCCCATTTCTCTGTCTGAAACATCTCTTTACCCACTGACAACCTCTGAAAAGCCATTTCAACATCTCAAGGCTGAGTTGAGCAAGCCCTTCTTTTTATCAAAGTGGTTTCTATCAAATTGTCTCCTGTAATTATTGTCTAATAAGTCTCTCCTACTTCTAGGTTTCACTCACTCCCAAGAGCTAGGTGACTGTCCTATTCATGTCAGAACCCTTAGCACTAAGCTGAGCACCTGATGTGGTAAATAGTAAATGTCTGTCATGTACAGTGCACAAAGCAAGTTATAAAATAATATATACAATATGCTAAAAATTATATTACATATACTGTAAATATATCACAGCCCAGAAGGATATATGCCAAAGTGTTAACAGCAATTTTCACAGAATTTGGGGGTACAGTGATTTTTATTTCCTTGTTTGTATATCTGCATTTTCCAAAATTTCCATAATGAACATATATTACTTTTGTAGGGCCAGGCACGGTGGCTTATGCCTATAATCCCAGCACTTTGGGAAGCCACGGCAGGCAGATCATGAGGTCAGGAGATCGAGACCATCCTGGTCAACCTGGTGAAACCCCATCTCTACTAAAAATATACAAATTAGCTGGGCGTCGTGGTGTGTGCCTGTAGTCTCAGCTACTCGGGAGGCTGAGGCAGGAGAATCACCTGAACCCGGGAGGCAGAGGTTGCAGTGAGCTGAGATCACACCATTGCACTCCAGCCTGGCAACAGAGCGAGACTCTGTCTCAAAAAAAAAAGTATTACTTTTGTAATAAGAAAGGAAATGACAAATTATTTTAAAATTGTGTTTGTGTGTGTGTGTTGTTTTTGTTGTTGTTGTTTTTGTTTGTTTGTTTTTTAACAGGGTCTCACTCTGTCACCCAGGCTGGAGTGCAGTCATATGATCATAACTCACTCACTGTAGCCTCAAACCCCTGGGCTCAAGAGATACTCCTGTGTAGCTGAGGCTAAAGGCACACACCACCATGCCTGGCTAATTTTTCAATTTTTTTGTAGAGATGGGGGAGTGTCTCACTTTGTTGCCCAGGCCAGTCTTGAACTCCTGGCCTCCAGTGATCCTCCTGCTTCAGTCTCCCAAAGCACTGGGATTACAGGCATGAGCCACTGCTCCCAGCCTTAAAATTGCTTCAAATGAACAATAATAGCTAACATTTATTGAGTACTTACCACATGAAAAAATTTAACAGCTTCATATGTACCATCTCTAATCCTCTGTAAGTTCTCTGTCGTAGGTACTATTGGTGTCATTACCATTTTACAGACTAGGAAACTGAGGCCTAGGGCGGTCAGGTAACTCACTCAAGGTAATGCAATTTAGAAAACAGTGGAGTTAAGCTTGGAGTCCAGATTGTCATGCTTCTGAACCTGTACTGCAACCTTTCCATGACCAGCCTCTAGATGGAAGGTGGGTAGATAGGTAAATTTCTCTCTTTTTAAAAAATCAACTTTTAGGCCAGGTACGGAGGCTCACGCCTGTAATCCCAGCACTTTGGGAGGCCGAGATGGGCGGATCACCTGAGGTCAGGAGTTCGAGACCAGCCTGGCCAACATGGTGAAACCCCGTCTCTACTAAAAATATAAAAATTAGCCGGGCATGGTGGTGGGCACCTGTAATCCCAGCTACTCGGGAGGCTGAGGCAGGAGAATCGCTTGAACCAGGGAGGCGGAGGTTGCTGTGAGCCGAGATCATGCCATTACACTCCAGCCTGGGGAACAAGAGTGAGACTTCATCTCAAAAAAAAAAAAAAAAAAAAAAAAAAAAATAGCCAGGTGTCATGGTGCATGCCTGTAATCTCAGATATTCAGGAGGCTGAGGCAAGAGAATCACTTGAACCCAGGAGGCAGAGGTGGCAGTGAGCTGAGATCTCACCGCTGCACTCCAGCCTGGGTAATAGAGTAAGATTCCATCTCAAAAAATAAATAAAATAATAAACTTTTAAAATTTTGAAGTAATTTCAGTCTCAGTATATTAGTCCATTCTCATGCTTCTAATGAAGACATACCTGAGAGTAGGAAATTTATAAAGGAAAGAGGTTTAATTGACTCACAGTTCAGCATGGCTGGGGAGGCCTCAGGAAACTTATAATCATGGCAGAAGGGGAAGCAAACACGTCCTTCTTCACATGGCGGCAGCAAGGAGAAGTGCCAACCAAAAGGGGGAAAAGCCCCTTATAAAACCATCAGATCTCGTGAGAACTCACTCACTATCATGAGAACAGCATGAGGGTAACTGCCCCCATGATTAAATTGCCTCCCACTGGGTCTCTCCCATGATATGTGGGGATTATGGGAACTACAATTCAAGATGAGATTTGGTTGGGGACAAACCATATCACTCAGGACAGATACAAGAATAGTACAATTAATTTCTGAATATCCTTTCCCCAGTTTCAATAGTCATTAATGTTTTGCCACATTTGCTTTATCAATCACTTTCTCTTTTTGTCTGTCTACATAAATACATATTATTATTATTATTATTATAACAGCTTTGTTGAGATACAAGTCATATACCATATATGCAACCATTACCACACAGCAAATTTTAGAATATTTTCATCACCTAAAAAAGAAACTCTGGGCCAGGCGTGGTGGCTTATACCTGTAATCATCCCAGCACCTTGGGGGGCCAAGGTGGGGGGGAATTGCTTGAGCCCAGGAGTTCGAGACCAGCCTGGGCAACAAGGCAAGACCCTATCTTTATAAAAAATAAATTAGCCAGGTGTGGTGGCATGTGCCTTTGGTCCCATCTCCTGGGGAGGCTGAGGCAGGAGGATCCCAGGAGGTTGAGGCTGCAGTGAGCCATGATTGCACCACTGCACTCCAGCCTGGGTGACAGAGTGAGACCCTATCTCAAAAAAAGAAAAACAAACCAAAAAACAAAACCCTGTACCTCTTTTAGCTATCACCTCCCTAAACCCAATTCACCTCAGCCCTAAGCAACCACTAACCTACTCTCTGTCTTTATAGACTATAATATGTAGTCTCTATATAGACAGAATAGACTACAATGTCTATTCTGGACATTGCATATAAACACAGTCATATAATCTGTAGTCTTTAGTGACTCACTTTTTTCACTTAGCATAATGTTTTCAAGATTCGTCCATTTGTAGCATGTATCAGCCCTTCATTCATTTTTATGGCTTTATTACAGTCTAATATATGGATGTATCTCATTGTGGCTATCCATTCATCACTTGATGGACATGGGGTTGTTTCTGTATTTTGACTATTATGATTAATGCTGCTATGAACATTCCCGTACAAGTTTTTGTGTGGACATATGTTTCATTTCTCTGGGACATACACCTAGGAGCGGAATTTCTGGGCCATACAATAGCCATATGCTTAATTGTTTGGGGAATAATAATGTACTTATATTTTATTTCTGAACCATTTTGAGGTGAAGTTGCAGACATGTCCCTTTATCCCTAAATACTTCAGAGAAGCCAAACCAAGGACATTCTTTTTCATAACCACGTTTCAATGATCCAATTCAGGAAATTTAACATTGATACAATATTACTGTTATATAATCCACATGCAAATTTTGCCAATTATGTCCTTAACAGCAATTTCCCCCCCATCCAAGATGCAAGCTGGGATCACGCACTGCATCTAGTTGTTCTGTCTCTTTCCTTTCCTTCGGTCTGGTGCAGTTCCTCAGCCCTTCTTCATCTTTGTGTAGTTTTGTGAAATGTCTCTCAGTTTAGGTTTATCTGATGTTTGGATGGATGAGTTTCAAGGCTTGTCCATGTAGTGGGCACTGAGGTCCAGTCGTGTAGCTGCCCAGGCAGAGGAGGAGACTTGGCTCGGCAGGAGCCCTGACCCCTTCCAACCCCACCGCGATTGCACCGCGCTCTGCAGCGAAGGGACGGGCCGCAGACCCAGACCCAGGGCTGAGCCCGGCAGTGGAAAGTGCCCCACCTGGACACCTGGAGGGTTTACTGGGAAGTGCCAAGAGAAAGAAAGGGGTTGTGCGGGAGCTTCGTTCACGCCCTTTCCCAGGAACAGCTCAGGGGCCTGGAGGGCGCGGGAGTGTGTCCCCAGGCCGGGCCGTGGGCAAGCACTTCCCATCGCGGCACCGAGGGCTCCCGGACCTCGCCAACCCGAGCCGCCCGGGAAAGGCTGCAGCGCGTCGCCGGGATATCCGGGAAGGGCGGGCGCGGGGGAGACCAGCAGGCCGGTGCTGGGAAGGCGCTGCCCCTTCTGGGAAGGGCCTTGATGCAAGGGCACACCCCCATGCCCGCGCCCTGCACCCCCGCTTCCGGCAGCCCCGGCGGGGCTCTCGGGAAGGCGCGGGGCGGGGGCGGCTGATTCTAATCCGAGGCCCAAGATGGAGATTGGGCGCCGGGAGGCGGCTGGCTTCACTGGGTCCTGGCCCTGAGCCGGTTTGCTGGGCTGGGCCTACCAAAGGCCCCACCAACTTTTGCAAGAAGACTTTTCTGGGTGCTCCCTCAACATTATTGATTGAGAAGAGCCCCAGATAATCTGCCATCCTACCGCACAGCTGCCAACTTCCACCTGAGGCAGCGGTGGTTGGGCTGTTCGTTGTTCATTCGTTCATTCATTTTGTGGCTGCAGGTATCTGCCTGCTCCCCACCTTTCCCCCTCCCTGTTGGGGAAGAGGCTCAGTAGGGCTTCCAGGTAACAGTCCTGTACCTAACCTGCTTCTGCTGAGAACACCTGTCCTCATAGTGCCACCCGACCTGCCCTCCCTCAGCCCCAGGGCCTTGAATTCTGGCCACCCCAGGACTGAGCTGGCCTCTGCCCACTTTACAATGAGGGCGACAGACACCAGGGGGAAAGGCAGGGCCTTAGGGAGCTAGCCAGGAAGAGGTAGAATGGGGAGAGGAGGAAGGCACCAGGCAGGGACCAGGCCAAGAGCGCTGCAGGAATGTCATAGTCATCCGAGTTTGCACCCTGACAGTCTGCAGATATGCGTTGTTCTGTCCTCACAGGCTTTTGAAAATTGGAAAAGTTCACATAAAAATCCAGATATCTGATTTTTCTTGACAAATAAAAGGATCTGCCAACACCAAGCTTGCATTCCTGTGGCAGCCAGGACTGAATCAGGAACCTTCCCTGGACCTGGCAGTGGCCACACACCCCTTCTTATTGTTTAAACTTTCTGCACTAGCTCCATTACTTGCCTCTTCCCCAAGGGCACCTGTGAGCTCACTCAATCCTCACCATACCCTGTGAGGTCAGGAACCCGATTCCATTTTGTACAGAAAGAAAGCAAGGTGAGAGGTCAACCACCTCGCCCAAGGTCACAGCCAGAGAGAGGTAGGGCTGGGATTCTCCCCCAGGTTATCTGCTCCCTGGATGATGCTCTCTTCACTCTGCTGTACTGTTTCCTTGTGGGAGATCCGGTGTCTTCAGCAGCAGCTGGGTGGACGGCAGATGTAGACAGCAAATGGAAAGCCCTTGGCCATCGTAGTCTGGGGCTTTCTAGGCCACCACAGAGTCCTGAGCTGGGCTACACAGCTCTTGGCTGAGGCTCTGGAGTGGTGCCACCGAAGTGTGGAGCAAGAAGGTTCGGTCCATGGTCCCACAGTAAACTCAGGCAGGCGAAAGGACATGGGCACCTCTGTGTGGGGGTGTTGGCCTCTAGTCAATTAAGGGGTGCTCTTTCTTCGTTGCTTCTCTCTCTTTGCTGGAAGTGGGCTCCCTCTGCCAGTGTTTTGCTCCATATGGCTTTCTTGCGCCCACATGGGGGCAATTGATGGAGAATAGTGTCAAGATTTTCTTAGTGCATAAATCACAGTACATTACAGTCAGGCTTCCCTGAGCACAGCTCTTTCTGCTCAGTTGTGCGTTCTCCTCCTGGAAAGGTTTGCTAACCCTTTTCCTGATTGGGCTTGTCCAATACTTCTAGCAATTTCTAGAAATGAATCAAAGGGCAGTACCTTACGGTCACAGAGGGTCGGAGGAAGCTAAGGTAACTGCCTTCTAAGAGTAGTTCAGCTGTATATGGTACTCTACAGTTTATAAAACCTTTTCACACTCTTGTGTATTCCTTTGGTTCACACAACTTTAGAGCTGTACAGAGGAGCAATTTGCAAACTTACCTTGAGCAAATTCCTTTCCTCTTTTTCTGTTTTGATTTCCTCATTGAAGAAAAAACAAGATAATACTCTCTTTTTAAGGTATTTTCAGGCAAAGCTACTCTGCTTTCTAACTCCTGGGAGTGCTATTCACATTGAATGCCATGTGATGGGTCCTCTTGGGATTGTGCAATGGGCAGAACTCCTCATATGCATGTTGTGAGGATGAAATGACATCATTTATGTACTAGCACAAGTCCTGGGAGATAGTAGGTGATTAATAAATGCTTATCAAGTGAGTGAACTACTCACTTGGTCATGATGAATTCTGAAGGACGCTTATAGGAAGAAGGAAGTTGTACCGGCCCCCTGTGGCTGGTGTTGCCTTTCCTGCCCATTTTTTTTTTGTATCTCTTGCCAAGTTGCCCTTTGTCCTAGGCCTCTGGGCTCCCAGCCGGCTGGAGGCACAGAGTTATCTGTGGGGCCTGGAGTGCTGGGCCTGGGCTGTGTAATGACCAGCCTTCCGCTTGCTTCAAGTTTCCGCTGGGGGGCTGGAAGCCACAGCATCCAGATGGCTAATTGCTTTGTGCCTGTTTCTGCAAATCACAGTGATTCACTGTCCCTGCTGAAAACACGCTCTCTTTTCAAAGATTTAATGGTTTCCAAAATTAATTTAGCCTCATCTGTTATCCCCCTGCCCTTCTGCACTGTCCTCTCTCTCCCCAGCACCCTCTTTTTTTTCCCTCCCTTCTCCCCATCCCATGATGGAGCATTCTGCGCCAAAAGCCAGCTTTCACTCTGCAGGGCAACGTGGAGAGGGATGAAAAGCCTAGACCCCTTAGCACGGTCACCTGAACACAAGCTGAGTGTGGCGTATCAAGTGGAAGCCCAGGAGGGAAGAGCCAGTGGCACAGTTATCTCCCACCACCCGACATGCTCCGGCCGCCAGCTCTGGTCTGACCGACGCTTCGGATGAAGAACTCCAAGCAGCCCCCTATTCGTACTGTTTTCCTCAGTGAACTCCCAGGGATCACCTGCTTTTTATGTGTGACGAATGTGGTCAGTTTTGTTTGCTTTTGACAGCTCATTATGGGTCCATGAGGTCAGAGTCCTGGCTGAAAGGCCAGAAGTTTAGGGAGCCTATCTCCAGCTGATACTCGCTTGCTTCTTGACCATCTTTGGGCTTCTGTTCTTTCCCAGTAGCATAAAGCTTGTATGATTCTGACCTCTGGCACCTATGCATTATTTAATCAACATTTATTGGGGCTGTCTCCATGCCAGGCATGTGGTAGGCCCTAGTGGGGCAGGGGTAAAAAACCGCTGCAATCCTGGCCTTTCAGGAACTCAGTCTAGAGGGAGAAAGAAAACACCTGAGGCCAGAGGGCTCTCTCTGATCTGCTTCTTCTATTTCAAGTCTGTGCTTTTAACTATATTGAATTTCCCAGTTATTATATCTTCTTAATGAATTGTTGATTTTATCAGTATGGAATGTCCATCCCACTTTGACCCTTGTAATGCCTTTTACCTTAAATTCTATTTTATTCTGCCCATCACTAGGGGACTAGTTGAATCAGTTATGGTATATCCTCACAATGGAGTACTATGCAGTTGTGAAAAATAATGAGGGCCATCTTTACGTGCTGTTATGGAGTGATTTCCAGGATATATAGTTAAGATGGAAAAGTAGGAAGGAAAAAATATGTATTGTATGCTACTGTTTAAGAAAGACAAGTATTCATCTGTGTGTGCGTGTGTTTGCTTATATATTAAAATGCAGAAAAATATGACCAGGTGCGGTGGTTCACGCCTGTAATCCCAGCACTTTGGGAGGCTGAGGCAGGTGGATCACTAGGTCAGGAGATCGAGACCATCCTGGCCAACACGATGAAACCCCGTCTCTACTAAAAAATACGAAAAATTAGCTGGGCATGGTGGTGGGCGCTTGTAGTCCCAGCTACTCAGGAGACTGATGCAGGAGAATGGCGTGAACCCAGGAGGTGGAGCTTGCAGTGAGCCGAGATCACGCCACTGCACTCCAGCCTGGGCGACAGAGCAAGACTCCATTTCAAAAAAAAAAAAAAAAAGGCAGAAAAATAAATCATTACATCAAAAGTAAATAAATTAATAAAATGGGGTAGAAAGAGAGAGATGTTTGTCAAAGGGTGCAAACTTTCAGTTATAAGATGAAAAAGTTCTGGAGATCTAATGTACAGCATGGTGACTACAGTTAATATCACTGTGTTATATATTTAAAATTTGCTAAGAGAGTAGATCTTAAATGCTTTTGTCACAACACAAAAATGACAATGATATGAAGTAACATGTTAATTTGATTGTGGTAATCATTTCATAATGTATACATTTATCAAATCATCACATTGTATACCTTAAACACATACAATTTTTATTTGTCAATTATATGTCAAAAAAAGTCTTGGGAAACAAAAAAGAAAAAATCCTCATAAAAAATAAAATAAACCAAAAATAAACAAATAAAAATATTCCCTTTGAGAGAGGGAGAGACTGGGCAGACGGGTCAGAAATAGAAGCTAGGCTTCTCTGAATAGACAACTTGCTAGATTTGATTTTGGAATGTAAATATTATACATAGTTATAAAACAAAATTAAAATGGGAAAGCACTTTTTTTTTTTTTTGAGATGGAGTCTTGTTCTGTCACCCAGGCTGGAGTGCAGTGGCGTGATCTCGGCTCACTGCAAGCTCTGCCTCCCAGGTTCACACCATTCTCCTGCCTCAGCTTCCTGAGTAGCTGGGACTACAGATGCCTGCCACCATGCCTGGCTAATTTTTTGTATTTTTAGTAGACACGGGGTTTCACCGTGTTAGCCAGGATGGTCTCGATCTCCTGACTTCGTGATCCGCCTGCCTTGGCCTCCCAAAGTGCTGGGATTACAGGCGTGAGCCACCACGCCCGGCCGGAGAAAGCACTTCTTAAAAAAAGACAAATGATAACAACTATGTATCAGTTTCATGGCAAAACTCACAGAATTATTTCAGGAGACTCTAAAATATAGTATTTAACAGTAGGACTATTGAGAGATATACTCTATGTAGGGAACAATAGCAAAACACCCTGCAAAAATAAACTCTCTTTGGTAATCATATTGTTAGTAATATTATAGATACTATTATTCTGAAACTATTATACATAGGTAGGATGAAGCAAATAAGCAACTATGTTAACATTAGGATCCAAGATTTTCAGTATAATAGAACAAAGTCACAAACATAAAAATCAAATATTAAGCAAAAATTCTAAATTTGAATAGAAACTATTATAAGTATGGACTTATGATTAATTTAAAATAATCTACTTCCTAGCAGAGTCAACTGAGAAGGCCTAGAAACAATGATCAATCCAATAATAATGAGCACCTCTGGACCCCAGATTGTGATTTCTAACTACCATGTCCCACTAAAAGGACCAAGCCTCCTTGGGAAAAATTTTCCATGCTTATTTTGTACATTATCCTAACCTGTGTGTTACAGGATACAAATTTGTCAAACTAGATAGAAGGAAGTTGCCAGAGATTATTAGAGTCTTGTCAAAAGAAGAGCAACATTGATTTGAAGAGGTACCCACTCGCCAAAAATGGGATAATTAAGCACGAATAGAATAATAATTGATTGCAGCATTATTCACAGTAGCCAAGATATGAAGTGAATCTGAATGTCCATCTACCCCTCCCTCCCTCCCTGCAGTCTCCCTCTCAAGAGATTATTACTTCAAATCTTCTGGCTGTTTTTTCCCCCTGATAATTTCTTTGTTGTTGTTGTTGTTGTTGTTGTTTCTTTATTTTTGAGACAGGGTCTTGCTCTGTCGCCAGGGCTGGAGTGCAGTGGCATGAACTCAGCTCACTGCAGCCTCCACCTTCCAGGCTCAACTCAAGCAGTCGTCTCACCTCAGCCTCTGCATTAGATGGGACCACAAGCACGTGCCACCATTCCTGACTTTTTTTTTTTTTTTTCCGAGAGATAGGGTTTAGCCATGTTGCCCAGGCTGGTCTCAAACTCCTGGGCTCAAGCAATCCACCCACCTAGGCCTCCCAAAGTGCTGGGATTACAGGCAAGAGCCACCATGCCTAGCCTCTCCTTGTTTTTAAGTGATATGCTTATACTATTATTTCTTGATACTGTAGGGACACAGCTCTGCCATGGCACCTGGTGACCTTGCATATATCCAAATAGGGCACCAAGGCAAAGGCTTGAACCACAATGAATATGAATCTTGGCAGAATGCCTGTGGTCCTCTCAGAACACAAGACAGTACGGGAGACTTGTAAAGAGCTGCTAAGAAGCCACTTTCCATCCACGTCTTAGCTCCCCTGGGAGGCTGTCATAAGACAGTTATTTATTGCCCTCTGGGTTCTGAGGAGGTATGTGGCTTTCTGCCCTGTCCCCTCCCCACTTTAGGTCATCCGTTCTTTTTCTTTCTTGGCTTTGAAAATTTTTAATTTATTCTTTTCAAAAACAATTTTTAATTGATGCATAATAGATATACATAGTTTCGGGGTACATGTGATAATACACTCACATAATTTGTAAATATCAAATGAGTGTACTTGGGGCATCGATCAGCTTACGTGTTTATCATTTCTTCATTTTAGAAACATTTGAATTATTATCTCCTGGCTATTTTGTTTGTTTGTTTGTTTGTTTTTGAGACAGAGTCTCACTTTGTCTCCCAGGCTGGAGTGCAATGGTGCAATCTCAGCTCACTGCAACCTCCACCTCCTGGGTTTGAGCAATTCTCGTGCCTTAGCCTGCTGAGTAGCTGGGACTACAGATGCGTACCACCATGCTCAGCGAATTTTGTGTGTGTGTGTGTGTTTTGTTTTGTTTTTTGTTTTTTTGAGACAGAGTCTCGCTCTGTCGCCCAGGCTGGAGTGCAGTGGTGCGATCTCAGCTCACTGCAAGCTCCGCCTCCCGGGTTCATGCCATTCTCCTGCCTCAGCCTCTTGAATAGCTGGGACTACAGGCCCCCACCACCATGCCTGGCTAATTTTTTTGTATTTTTTAGTAGAGACGGGGTTTCACTGTGTTAGCCAGGATGCTCTCTATCTCCTGACCTTGTGATCCACCCGCCTCGGGCTCCCAAAGTGTTGGGATTACAGGTGTGAGCCACCGCGCCTGGCCGTTGTTTGTGTTTTTTGGTAGAGATGGGGTTTCACCATGTTTACTAGGCTGGTCTCAAACTCCTGACCTCAGGTGATCCACCCACCTCCCAAGTGCTGGGATGAGAGGCGTGAGCCACTGCGCCCGACCTCTCCTAGCTATTTTGAGGTGTACAACAGATTATCATCAACTATAGTTACCCTTCTGCTCTAACACTAGGTCTTATTTCTTTTACCAAACTGTGTACTTATACCCATTAATAGCTTCTCTTAATCCTCCCTCCCCTCCACCATTTATTTTTGATGTTCTCTAGTTTCACAATAATGTTTTTATATTTCCTCATTTCTGGAAAAATTTCAACCATGATCTCTTTGAGAAAATGACTTTTTGGGCCAGGGGCGGTGGCTCAAGCCTGTAATCCCAGCACTTTGGGAGGCCAAGGCAGGTGGATCACCTGAGGTCAGGAGTTCAAGACCAGCCTGGCCAACATGGTGAAACCCTATCTCTACTAAAAATACAAAAATTAGCTGGGCGCAGTGGCAGATGCCTGTAATCCCAACTACTCAGGAGGTTGAGGCAGGAGAATTGCTTGAACCCGGGAGGTGGAGGTTGCAGTGAGCCAAGGTGGGGCCACTGCACTCCAGCCTGGGTGACGGAGTAGGACCCTGTCTCCAAAAAAAAAAAAAAAAGGCTGGGCACAGTGGCTCATGCCTGTAATCCCAGCACTTTGGGAGGCCAAGGCAGGTGGATCACCTGAGGTCAGCAGTTCAAGACCAGCCTGGCCAAGGTGATGAAACCCTGTATCTACTAAAAATTAAAAAAAATTAGTCAGGTGTGGTGGCGGCCGCCTGTAATCCCAGCTACTCGGGAGGCTGAGGCAGGAGAATTGCTTGAACCCCGGGAGGTGGAGGTTGCAGTAAGCTGAGATCATGCCATTGCACTCTAGCCTGGGCGATAGAGTGAAACTCTGTCTCAAAAAAAAAAAAAAAGGAAAAAGAAAATGACTTTTTGGCTGGACATGGTGGCTCATGCTTGTAATCCCAGCACTTTGGGAGGCCAAGGTGGGCGGATCGTGAGGTCAAGAGATCGAGACCATCCTGGCCAACATGGTAAAACCCCGTCTCTACTAAAAATACAAAAATTAGCTGGGTGTGGTGGTGCGTGCCTGAAGTCCCAGCTACTCGGGAGGCTGACAGGAGAATCGCTTGAACCTGGGAGGTGGAGGTTGCAGTGAGCCGGGATCACGCCACTGCACTCCAGCCTGGTGACGGAGCAAGACTCTGTCTCAAAAAAAAAAAAAAAAAAAAAAAGAAAATGACTTTTTGTCATCCAGTCCACTTTCTCTCAGAATTCTTATTATAGGAATCTTGACACATTTAAAAAATCTTGTCTCTTTTATCTTTCTGGCTATGATCTAGGAGACTTCCTCACTTAGATTTTTCAGATCACTAAATACAAAAGAAAAAAGAAAAAAAGGAAAAAACCTAAAAAGAATCGAATCACTAAAGCCCCATACCTCAGAATAGAGCTGAAGAATATAACTACTTAGCCACAATCTAAGATTGATTCCTCAGCAGTGGGTATCCAACAACTCACGTTTCAGTCATCGGCCCCTTTTGTGTCATCCTTTTTGATGTGTGAGAAAAGGATCACAGGGAGCTAGCACTTTTGGCTTATTCTTATTTTTTTTCTCTCTCTATAAGTAATAAACTGTCTAAATCTGAAGTGGTTCATTGTATCTTTGCTGATTGAATCAGTCAGGTCTTGGCCTTACCTTGTCTTGCAGGCACAAGCTTGACAGACACCATCTATTGATTTCTTGTGTGATAATTAAGGTTTTAGTTTTCTTACATTTTCCCTCCCTCATATAAACATAGTATGATTTTTTTAAAAATTAAGTCAGTAGTCAATGTTTATATTATTATGGCTCTACTGAACATGGTATTGCATAATGACATTCCCTCCAGCTTTGTGTTTTTCCTGCAGTTAAGAGTTGCCATAGTTTTTCTTTTGCTTAGTTTTAAAAAATATGTATTGCTAATATTTTCCAAATGTTCTATGTATATCTGTTAAACATCTAGCAATGCTTTTTTCCCCCAAATGTCCAAGTGTATGAAATAATTGGTCACTATCCCTTCCTCTACTGCCATAGATCTCCCTTCTTAGCCCTGTCATCTTGCTACAATTTGGACATATTACTCTGTACAGCTGGGGCTCAGGTGTCATCTTAGGACTTCTTATCATCAGTCTTCTCCTTTGCATTGCTTCTCTGTTTTCTGAAATCCCTTTGTTCCTTGTTCTTGGCTTAGTCTTTCATTTCACTGAATCATATCCTTCACTATCTTCCTAAGAAAAGGTGTGTAGGAGGTAAAAATTTTGAGTTCTTACATATCTGGAAATGTCTTTATTCCACAGTTATCCTTTATTTGGCTAAGTATAGAATGCCAGGATAAAAATAATTTTCACTCAGAACTTTGGGTGCCCAACACTACTCTCCTCCTGCACTGCTGTTGTACTCCTTCATACATGACATGATTTTCTCTTTAGAGGTTATTAGCTTATTCCCATTTTCCTGGAATTCTGAAATTTAAAATTATTGCCTTGGAATTTTCCCCCATTCTAATGGACACATTAGTGGACACTCAATTTGGAGATTTATGTCCTTCACTTCCGGGAAAATCAATCTATCTGTCTATCTATCTATCTATCTATCTATCTATCTATCTATCTATCTATCATCTATCCATCAATCAATCATCTATTCATTCTATCCTTTGTTTTCTCTGTTTCAAAGCTGAATAAAACTTTTGAAACTTTTTGAATATTCTTTTAACACTCTTTTCTTCTCCTTAGCTTTCACTCATTTTATTCTACTTTCTGGGAGATTTCTTCAACTTTATTTTCCTACTCTTTTGACCACTTTTTTTTTTTCTTTTTAGAGACAGAGTCTCACTCTGTCACCTAGGCTGGAGTGCAGTGGCATGATCATAGCTCACTATAGCCTCAAACTCCTGGGCTGAAGTGATCCTCCTACCTCAGCCTCCCAAAGTGCTGGGATTACAGGTATAAGTCACTGCACCCAGCAGTGACCACATTTTTAATTTGTAAGAGCTCTTTATCATCCTCTGATTATTTCTACTTCACATCATCCTGCCCTTTTTCATGGCTGTGTATCTTCTTTTAAATCTCTGAGACTATCAGTTAAAAATACACATAAATTTTTTTTTAAAGTTTCTTTTTACATCATTTCTATTTCCTTTGAGTTCATTTTTTTCTGTTTGTTTGTTTTGGTCTCTCTCTCTCTCTCTTTCATGTGGGATACTTTTTGCAAATTTCTGGTGATCCTGGGCTATCCAGTCATATGGAATAGTGAGGCATCACAATGATTGGTGACTCTGTTATATGGACAGATATTTGACTGGCAGGTCTCAATCTGAGGCTATTTCATTGGGAGACCATAAAAGTCTCTCCTTAAGGTCACCGAAGGGTAGGTTTGAGATGTTTGGGTCGGGGGGCATTTTGACAGCATGGCTTCTCCTTTGGTATGTTTAATTGTGATGTTTGACAGACATCCTTGTAGTCAAAGACGATACTTTTAAAATAAATTATCCCCCAATGATGACTTGGGCCCTGTCACTCAACGGGAGAATTAGCAGAGCCTGTAGGATCTTATTTGGAATTGACATTCTCTATTGTAATTTCATTCCTGTTTATTTTTAAATTTTCTTTGTGTTCCACCGGAAAAGAAAGATGTTGCTCAGTTTTAAACTTAACAGTGCACAAGTTGCTTTGTTACAGTAAAACCCAATGTTTACACATGCACACAAAGTCCATCTTCAGGGGACTTTTCTCTGGGGCTAACAGTTTTTTTCCAGTGAAGAATCCTCCAGTCTTCTAGCCAGGGAACATATACCTGATAGTCCTTTTCTGGGAATGGGGTAAGGGAAGGAGCATGGCATTGGGGTCCACTATTAACATGTAGACTTAAACATAATCCTCCTCCGGTCTCAGCCAGCACCTGCCCTATTGTGGCTGGGATCCTTGAACTTGGGGGTGCTCTGGTTCTATTTCTGTAAAGAAAAAAACCTCCAATCAAGTGCAGGGACATAGTTGCCTGACTATTTGGGATTGGGAGGGGATCTGGAATTGTAATTTCTTCATATATGTCTTTCAATTGCTTCCCTAGGGTTTAGCCTATCCTTCAAACTCACTTCCTGCAGAATCTGCTGCCTCCAGGTTTCCAGCTCTCGGGGCTCTCTGGGAGGATCTGCTCAGTCCTCATCATCAGTGCCATCTTTGGGCCCTTTCAAGTCAGTTACCCCATGGCAGCCACTTTTTATCATCCCCAAATTTGCTAAGTTCTTCTGTCCACTGAGGTCCTCACTCCCATTCTCAGAGTTCTCATGGGTTTATGCTTTAAAAACTTTTGTGGGTCTTTGGAGAAAAAGGAGATAAAGATGTATGGTCAATTTGTTATCTACAGTATCTCTGACATCACGTGTTGTGAGCCACCCACTTTTAAAACTAGATTTTTTTTTTAATTTAAATTTTTATTTTTAAATTGACACATAATTATATATACTTAAGGGGTACAATGTGATTTATGTATATATGTTTATACATATATTTATATATGTGTATATATATCTATCACATTGTACCCCTTAAGTACAACGTGTGTGTGTGTGTGTGTGTGTATATATATATATATATATATATATATATATATATATATATATAGTACAATACATGCATATACAAGTACTATACACATACCCATACATTGTGGAATGATTATATCAAGCTGATTAACACATTCGTCACCTCACACCCTTATTTTTTGTAGTAAGAACATTTACAAAAAATTCTTTTAGCAATTTCAAAATATACTCTACATGATTATTAACTATGGTCATCATGTTGTGGAACAGACCTGGAAAACTTCTTTCTCCTGTCTAACTGAAACTTTGCACCCTTTGGTCAACATCTCCTCCTTCCTTGCCTTCCTAGCCTCTAGTAACCACCATTCTGCTCTCTGAAGTAGGAATTTATTTTAAATGTTCCCTAAACATTTATTTCAAGCATCCAAGATTTCATAAAAATCTTTATGTCACCATCTTCTTACAGGTCTTGATCTATTCCCGGCCTTCGCTTTGCCAAACTAAAACCTCAGTTCTCATGTTGATGTTTTCACCAGGCTCCGGATTCTCTGGTTCTTTTTCTCTGGCCTCCCTTCAGTTGTCCTTCTGGAGGTCCATGACAAAAGATGCAGGCATCCCAGCCACCCCCTGGATGACAAAATCCTCTTCTACAAATATCTCTGCACTAAGCGGTTGCCTAGGCAGGGTAAAAGACAGGACTTGCCTTTGGTGGGAGAGCGTGTTCTCCACATTCTTCCTCACTGTGGACAAAGTTCTCAGAAGCCACTTTGGCTTCAAGGAGGTATCCCTTAAATGGTGTGTTCACACATCACCACGCACCACATTGCCCAAGGGAGCACTGCTATAATTAGCATGTGAGCTCCTCACCAGTCCATCACATTCTAGTAAACCCAGATGTAAGGGAGACTTGGTGGAAAAGAGGAGAAAGCCAAAAAGACAGACAAAACAAGAAGAAGAGGGGAAGAAGGATGATGGGGAAAGGGTGGCGATAATATTCATAATAAGGTTTGTAATTAATGATTATAATAATTACTTGCATTTGCAAAGAATTTCCACGTGCATGGTTTCATTCACTATGTGTAACAACACAAAAAAGTACACACTTAGTCCCTATAGACTACCTTATGGGTTCAATCTATGGGTTCAATTCTAGAACTTAATTATAATGATCATCTATGACTTTCTTTCAGAGAAATTTGCTCCAAGTTTCAAACAGTGATTTATAAATGGAAATATACACTGTGTGGAAGTTCAGGGCTGCCTAAGTAGATGAAGGCATAGCTTGATTTCTCTGAAAAAGGAGGACTCATTCCACAGGGGTTGATGGTGAGTCTCCTCTGAGCCAGCTGTGGTGCTGAGTGCTGAGGTGACGGTAAAGATGAGTAGTGCATGGATGCTCCTGCCCACGGTGAGTGGATTTAAGAAGAGAGCACCTGATGCTGCCGAGGGATTACAAAGGAAAGATTCAGTGAGGCATTGCAAAGGAAAGATTCAGTGAGGGATTGCAAAGGAAGGGTTCAGTGAGGGATTGCAAAGGAAGGGTTCACCGAGGGATTGCAAAGGAAGGGTTCAGTGAGGGATTGCAAAGGAAGGGTTCAGTGAGGGATTGCAAAGGAAGGGTTCACCAAGTGATTGCAAAAGGATTCACTGAGGGATTGCAGAAGGATTCACTGAGGGATTTCAAAGAAAGGATTCACCAAGGGATTGCAAATGAAGGATTCAGTGAGGGATTGCAAAGGAAGGATTCACTGAGGGATTGCAAAGGAAGGGTTCAGTGAGGGATTTCAAAGGAAGGATTCAGTGAGGGATTGCAAAGGAAGGGTTCAGTGAGGGATTGCAAAGGAAGGATTCAGTGAGGGATTGCAAAGGAAGGATTCACTGAGGGATTGCAAAGGAAGGGTTCAGTGAGGGATTGCAAAGGAAGGGTTCACTGAGGGATTGCAAAGGAAGGGTTCAGTGAGGGATTGCAAAGGAAGGGTTCACTGAGGGATTGCAAAGGAAGGGTTCGGTGAGGGATTGCAAAGGAAGGGTTCAGTGAGGGATTGCAAAGGAAGGGTTCATTGAGGGATTGCAAAGGAAGGATTCACTGAGGGATTGCAAAGGAAGGATTCATAGACCAGAACTTTGACATGGGATCTGTCCAGCAGAAAAGGTAGGGTAGGGCATTTTTGCAGAGAATGTGATGGACAAACACATGAAGGCACAGTTAATAATTTAATATGGACAAACTAAGGGTGGCATCCCTGTAGCAGACATGGGAATTGTTACCACCCAACAAAGAATCCTCCTTCTTTGAGTATTAATTCACTGATTTCCTCAGGGGAGCTATTTCACCACACCCAACTTTCAGTCCCCATGATTGGATGGGACTGGGTATATCACTCAGCCTGACAATTCATCAGAGAGATTTACTCAGAAATTGGCATGTTACCCATTCTAGGCCAATGAGAGGGGGTCCTGAGATTTTTGCTAGAACTCTTGGAAAAGAAGCATTTTCTTTCTCTGTCAGGATTGTAGAATAACTGTAGGTGGATGTTCAGTATATTAGATTATTTGTTTGTTTGCCTGTTTGTTTATATGCATTGAGTAAAATCAGAAAGAAGTATCTTAAAATATTGACATCAATGAATTTTTGGTGGTGGGATAATGATGACATTTATGGTTTTTGTACATTTACATATTATTTATATTTTCTACAAATTTATTATATTTATATTAAAATATATTTTTTTCTTTCTTTTATTTTTCTGAGACAGAGTCTCATTCTGTCACCCAGGCTGGAGTACAGTGGTGTGATCTCAGCTCACTGCAGCCTCTGCCTCCCAGGTTCAAGTGATTCTCATGCCTCAGCCTCCGGAGTAGCTGGGATTACAGGTGTGCACCTCCACACTTGGCTATTTTTTTTGTGTTTTTAATAGAGATGGGGTTTTGCCATGTTGGCCAGGCTGGTCTCTAACTCCTAGCCTCAAGTGATCCACCTGCCTAAGCCTCCCAAAGTGCTGGGATTACAGGCATGAGCCACCAAGCCCTGGCAGATTTTTTTTTTTTTTTTTTTTTTTTTTGATACAGACTCTCACTCTGTTACCCAGGCTGGAGTGAAGTGGTGCGATCTCAGGTCACTGCAGCCTCCACCTCCCAGGTTCAAGTGATTCTCCTGCCTCAGCCTCCCAGGTAGTGGGGATTACAAGTGTGTGCCACCACTCCTGGCTAAATTTTGCATTTTTAGTAGAGACGGGGTTTCACCACATTAGCTAGTCTGGTCTCGAACTCCTGGCCTCACGTGATCCACCCACTTTGGCCTCCCAGGGTGCTGGGATTACAGGCATGAGCCACTGCCCAAAATGGATTTTGATGTTATAAATTATTATTTTAAAACTATTTTAGGCTGGGCGCTGTGGCTCACGCCTGTAATCCCAGCACTTTGGGAGGCCGAGGTGGGTGGATCACCTGAGGTCAGGAGTTCGAGACCAGCCTGACCAACATAGTGAAACCCCATCTCTACTAAAAATACAAAATTAGCCAGGCGTGGTGGCGCATGCCTGTAATCCCAGCTACTTGGGAGGCTGAGGCAGGAGAATCACTTGAATCCGGGAGGCGGAGGTTGCAGTGAACGAAGATGGCGCCATTGCACTCCAGCCTGGGCAATAAGAGCAAAACTTAGTCTCAAAAAAAAAAGTTATAATACATTATAAAACAATATACATATGTACCATAATATATGTTTATGTTTATAATTTTATATAAATAATAGATTCATGTAATTTTTACATTAATATAGAACAGAAGTGCTTTAAGCCCCAAATGCCCATTTATTCCTTCCCTTGGTTCCAGTTTTAAACCCAACTCCTGAAACCTGGCGGGACCTGCATCCTGAATCCCAGGTTAATCCAGTTTCCTATAAAAACTTTTTCAAAAGAAAGCATTTTACCTTTTCAAAGTCAGGTAGTTAGCAAAAAGAGACATTTCAAAGTAAAACATTTAGGAACTAAGAGGTTACACTGGCGCCCCGTTAGACCTCAGTCCTCCTTTTAGCACAGAGGGTGGAAAGATGCGTGGGGCTCTGTTCTCAGGATGGGCTCTGACTCCAGGCCGGCTGTGGCAGGGGGACCAGGGGTGGCCGTGCCTCTTTGACCTGACTTTGTAGTCCTTTTAGGAAGAGCTCAGTGGGTTGTTGAACTGGCGTGGATGCCCTTGGTAGCCCTGCCAGAGAGAGGAATAGGACACAACCCCCACCCATCCTCCTGTCACCTGCCTTCACACTCACAGTCCCTTCAGTCACCAAACGGGAACAGCACAGCTCGGCCCTGCCTGGGTTTCCTCTCCCCTTGTTTGCAAGGACTCCTGAGAATTCACACACATCCTGGGTGTCCTCCCTGCCAGTCACCAGCTCAATCCTGCTGGTGCCCACTGCAGAAACAGACCCCTCTCTTTTTTTTTTTTTTTTTTTTTTTGAGATGAAGTCTTACTCTGTCACCCAGGCTGGAGTGCAGTGGCGCCATCTCAGCTCACTGCTATCTCCACCTCCTGGGTTAAAGCGATTCTTCTGCCTCAGTCTCCCGAGTAGCTAGGATTACAGGCTCCTGCCACCACACTCAGCTAATTTTTTTGTATTTTTAGTAGAGACAGGGTTTCACCATGTTGGCCAGGCTGGTCTCGAACTCCTGACCTCAAGCGATCCGCCCGTCTCGGCCTTCCAAATTGTTGGGATTATAGGTGTGAGCCACCATGCCCAGCCCAAGCCCCTCTCTTAAGTTCTCCAAGCACAGCTTTAACAAAACTCCCCATAACCTCTGCAGAGATGCCATTCTCTCTCAAAGAAAGCCACATTTTACAGTGACTAAGAGGAGCCTGTGGCCTCACGTTGTCCTGCATTGCACTGTCTCCTTTCCAGAAAAGGTTCACGTTTTATCCTTGCATAACCCAAAGACCTATTAAAATCTTTTCCTAAAAACAAAAGGGATTATTCCCACAAGAGCAAGTTGCTTCCACCTCCACCGGAGACAAAGAAATTGGAATCAAAACCCCAAGCCCATGTGGCTCAGAATAGCAGTTTGCTCTTTTTTTCTTGCCATTGCTTTTTTCAAAAATAGCGGAGGCCATTTTTTGCACACCACATTCTATACCTGTTTGGAAACCAAAGGCTGAGTCTGAAAGAGGGTCAGGGACTGGGCTGGGAAGGGAAGGCTGCAGGAGAGACTCAGGAAGAGGGAGTGAGGTCAATGAACACAGCAACCGCCAGTTTTTCCAAGACTGAGACCTTTTATCGTGGAGTCAGATGTGGGGAGAGGGGGCCAGGCGTCAGCTAGCTGTGGGATCACGGGCAAGTCTTGGAGGTGCCTCTTCCAGCTTCAAATCTCTGTGTACTTTGGGGAGGCAGGGGGTTTGCTTCCCAGGTGCAGGCTTGCACCTGCCTCTTTCTGGATTGCATCAGAGCTGCTCAGGACTCATTTCCCCACCCCCACAGGCGCCTACAGCTCCCTCCCCCTCCCATAACTTATTAGCTACAGATAACATCCCTTTGTTCTCCCAGTGACTCCACACCCACAGAAGGAGAGGGGGATGAAGAAATCTGCCAGGAGGGTGCCTCCCGCCAGTATCTGATGAAGGTAAGAGGTAAGAGGCTGCCCGTTTACTGCTTGTGCCTTCCAGGGAAGCTTCTTCCCCAGGGCCACTACCCGTTTCGGGAGGCGTTTCTGGGCTAGGCTTCCTGGCAGGGGAGGCTCTCAGGCACTGGGGCCGCTGAGGGTATGTGGTGAAGCGCTTGGCTTGGAAATCTTTGCCTTAGGGACTCATTAAGAATTTTTTCAGGGAATCCTCGTCGGGTGTCTTCCAATGGCTTCCCACCAGGTTACAGTCAGGCCGAAACTTCTTTTTTTTTTTTTGAGATGGAGTCTCGCTCTGTCGCCCAGGCTGGAGTGCAGTGGCGCGATCTCGGCTCACTGCAAGCTCCGCCTCCCAGGTTCACAGCATTCTCCTGCCTCAGCCACCCGCGTGCCCGGCATGGCCCAAACTTCTTAGCCTTTTTTGCCAGTCCTTTTCCCAGACCCACTGAGCTCCAGTTACATAGAACCACGTGCGATTTCCTTGAAAATATTATGCATTTTCATGCTTCCGTGACTACTTTGCATATGCTGTTTCCTTTGCCTGGAGTGCCCCCTACCACTTCTCTTCTTAAAGAACTCCTATTCATCCTTCAAGACCCTACTCAAAAGTCAGGTTCTTTTTCAAAGCCTTGCTTGACTTCTCAGACAGGGTGGGATGCTCTGTGCTCTAGGCACAGGGTTCCTTCCCTGGCTCATCTGGGATTAGGGTAATTATTAGAATTTACATGTTTATCTTCCTTCTAGTTGTTCCTCCAGGGCAGGGACTGTCATTCACCTTTGCAAATGTGGTGTACAGCACAGTGCCAGGCCCTCGTAATTCCTCAGCCAGTATTTGTGGCAGGATAAACACAATTTCTTCTGGATTTATTGTAATTTTGAGTAGCATTAAGAGAATGCTTTTGTCTCTGTGGACATTCCCTGGCCTCCAGTGGCATCTCTCCAGACAAAGGTCACATATTTGTGAATCTGTATATTCACACAGCATCAGCATGTCACTTCTCAGGTATTTTACATCTGATTTATTTATTTTACACATTAACCCTATGGGTGGTTGTTATTGTTGCCATCATAAAATAAAGAGATCGAGATGCTAAGAGATTAAGTACCATGTTCAAGGTATCAGCACTTGGATGGCAGAGCTGGGACCTGAAACCAGGTATTCTGGCTGCAAAATCTTTTATCTACATCTGAGTTTCTGAGTAAGTGGTCTTTGAATCAGTAGGTCAGCGTCCCCTGGGGACTTGTTAGACAACCCAAAACTCCAAGGGTGGGGCCCAGCAATCTGTTTCAACCAGCCCTGCAGGTCATTCTATCCTCAAGTTAACACTGGCCTGTGCCACAGCTGCTCCAGTAGCTGTCCACAGCCATGGGAGGGCGCTCCAAGGCCGACTTTCACCACTGGGAACCTGTCAGGCACAGCAGAAGGCAAGAAAATGCATGAACTGGGAATTAGGCGGCAGAGTTCTAGTCCTGCCAGTTCTGCAATTATTGGTTGAGTGATTTGGAGCACATTATTTAATGTTTAACCTCCCTGGGCCTCAGTTTTCTCATCTGTAAAATGAGGATGATGACTAAATGTTCTCATCTCTAATTTCCCTTTAAATTCTGTTATTCAGCTCTCCTTTGGAGTAATATGTTGTCTGTGCCAAGGATGGAATGAAAACAGAGTATGATGGCTCATCTTGACTTTTTCCTTACTTACAAATGGAGAGCCCCAAAGTCCAAATCCTTGGACCAGCTATCCCCCAACTTCCTCCTTAGGGGCAGAAGGTGAGAGCAAGCAAACATTTGAGTTGATTCATGAAACTTTACTGGGCAAAGAATAGAAAATGTTGGTTTGGACCCTCCTTCACTATCTGGGGCCCCTCCACATGAGCTCCTTCACCGATCCGTCTCCTTCAGCTGCTTCCCCACTGTGACTCTACCAGCCCCTCTCTATCCCCCCTTCAAGCCTGAGCACTTTCCCTGCACCCCCACCTGGAGTTGCCCAATTCACATGCTCTTGTTTATTCACTGCTCTTCTGAGGAAGGGTGGGGTTGGTGTCAGGGTGACTTACTAGGTTTGACAGGGGCTTGGTGGCCTCATGGGGAGCCCCTCAGACGCTGGCTTCACATGGCCCCTCCTGCTGGCTTCACATGGACCCAACGGCCCTCCCTGGAGCCCACCTCACAGTGGATGGGACTGTACCTACTGGGCACTGGTGGGGCCCAGCATTCAGCTGACGGCTGAAAAAACCTCCGGTCTACATTGGGCTAAAAGGGAGGAAGAATGTTTCTTGCCCTTTTGAGATGTTTGCAAAAATCCCCAAAAAGCAATTGTGTTGTCAGAGTACAGCCTTGAATCAGAAAGGTGGTTAGAAGAATTTTAATCACCCAGGAGCTTGGCATCAACATAAGAACATGGCTGATACTCAAGTCCAGAGAGACTAGGAGAACTGGGGAGTTTCAGAAGTTGGTCAAAGAACGTGTTGCCTTTGGCAAAACCACACGTGTCAAACAATCCGAGTGTCTAATCAATCTGTATCGCTCTCAGAGAGACTTTCAGCACAAGGTTTCAGAAGCCAGGAAAAGCCTAATAATGTAGGACATCAGGTGTCCCCAGCAACCCTGGGGTGAAAAGCCAAAGAAGGTGGTTCTTAAACAAGGGCTTGGCCAGGCCCAGTGGCTCACACCTGTAATCCCAGCACTTTGGGAGGCCAAGACGGGCAGATCATGAGGTCATGAGATCGAGACCATCCTGGCTAAAACGGTGAAACCCCGTCTCTACTAAAAATACAAAAAATTAGGTGGGCATGGTGGCGGGCGCCTGTAGTCCCAGCTACTCGGGAGGCTGAGGCAGGAGAATGGTGTGAACCCGGGAGGCGGAGCTTGCAGTGAGCCGAGATCGCGCCATTGCACTCCAGCCTGGGTGACAGAGCGAGACTCCGTCTCAAAACAAACAAACAAACAAACAACAAGGGCTCTGGGAAGACCGGAAGCCAATGTCGACTCCTCCTCAGTTGAAGGTCACCGAGGCTGCATTTCTCAGCTGCAAGTGACCAGGGAAGCTGACCACCCCTTAGATGATCAGTGGAACAACATGTTGATAAGAATATGTGTGTAAAGTTGTGTGCAGTTACGGTTTCTGTGCCTTTTAAATCAATACACATTGTCTCAACCTAGTACCCTGGAGTCCCATGTCAACACCTTCTGCTGATGGCTGCTTTCTTGACCCATTCTGAGCACCCCAAAGTGGGCCTGGTAATTGAGTTCAACCGGGAACCTGCTGACCTGCCTCAGCAGTCTTGGAACTTCCCAGGATCCCAGGGGGCTTGGAAGCCTGGGGACCACCCAGGCGTGGATTAGGATTCCTGGACTGCTCCAGCATGGGCCCCTCTCCCTCCCCACAGTCAGCACCTGTCCCATCTCAGCCTGAAATTGGCCTGCTTTCCTCCAAGACTTGGATCGAAAGACTCTTCTGCACATGTTCAAAATGTATTTCAACTCCTTAGAGTCTCCTAAGCCTCCCATTGCCAAGCCCCTGTGACTTCACAGACACTGAGCACTCATCTCTGGTGCTGTCTTCTACCCAAAGAGTGGCCACATCTGAACATGCTGGTCCTTTAGCTCTCTGTTGTGCAGGAGTGAGGAGACACGGGCTGTAGTCTCAGCATGCTGATGCAGTCTAGCTGTGGGCCCTTCGGCAGGTCACTTTACTTCTCTGGGCCTCAGTTTTATCATGTGTAAAATGAGAATGTTGCTTTAGATGCCCTCTGAGATCTTCCAACTCTAACATTCTGAGATTCTGGGGGCCGCCCTGGCCGAAACAGGTTCAGAGGTGCTGCACATCACCCCACACATAGCCATGAGGACATAGGAGAGAGTCCATGTAGTGTCAGGACAGTGGGGAAGACCCTGGGGCAGATGAATACTTTTCTTTCATGGACTTCGATTTGAGGAGAGCCTGTTGGGTGGGTCCTGGCTGGAAAGAGTGAAACAGCCTCCCTCAGACTCCCCCTGTGCTTGAGTGGTTGCCTCACAGGCTGTCACTTAACCCTCCTCACCACTTCCCAGGGTGGGAAAGGGAAGGGCAGACGGGGAACAGCTGATGAAATAGGCAGACACAAGCGTGTGTTCCTCAAAGACAAAGCCAAGGTCAACAGAGCTGGGCCAACTTGGGCTGCAGCTGCAGGCCCTGCTCTTTGCAGAGTTTCAGCTTCCTCTTCTTGACTCTCTCCTAATAATTTAAATGGGGTTCTTTCTCAGAGCACCAGAGCCAATGGTTGATACTTTGTGTTAGAATTTACCCACAACTATCCACTTGTGTTGCTCTTTAACCTGAAGCCAAAGAGAATGTCCTTGGCTGCTGGGAATGTGTGCAGTGAGGGCACCCAGGAGTGGGATGGTTGTTCTGAGCCTGTGCTCCCACCAGACCATACTTTCTGTGTGCTCTTCCAGGAGGAAATGGATCCAGCCAGAAGGATCAGAGAGTGTCAGAAGATCTGGAAACTTCCTCCGTAGGGCCAAAGCCTCAAAATATGCCATTCTATTCTGGGGAATGCCATTTCTATTCAGGGCTCCATCCATCAAATGGAAATGGGACTCTAGGCTACTTTCCCATCTCCCAGGAATTTGGATGCCTAGAACACAACAATTCTTTTAATCTTCTAAGTTAAAAAAAAAAAATTCGGGGACAGGTGCAGTGGTTCACTCTTGTAATCCCAGCAGTTTGGGAGGCCGAGGTGGGCAGATCACTTGAGGCTAGGAGTTGAAGGCCAGCCTGGGCAACATAGTAAGACCCTATCTCTCAAAAAAAAAAAAAAAACAAAAAAAACAACAGTTGGGTGTGGTGTTTCATGCCTGTAGTCCCGGTTACTTGGGAGGCTGAGGTGGGAGGATCATCTGAGCCCAGGGAGATTGAGGCTGCATGCAGTGAGCCATCATTGCACCACTGCACTCCAGCCTGGGCAACAGAGTGAGACCCAGCCAAAAAAAAAAAAAAAAAAAGATTCTATAAGGGGGAAAAAGACAAGGCGTATCAAGTCCTTGACAATAAGAAAATTGCTAAATATTGCACTCAAACTAGCTTAATAATGAACAACTATACCTTCATCATAAGTTGCAAAGAACTTTGTCATACTAAATTCATACTTCGACACTGTATATTCACTCAAAAGGCTTTATAAAGAAAGTGCAAATATAGTTAGACCCCCAAATCAGTCATAATCATCATAATTTACTGAATACTTATCAAGTGCCAGGCCCTGTACTAGGTGACTTAAATGAATTATCATATTTCATCCTCACAAGAACCCTATGAGACTGAATCTATTATTATCCCAATTTTATAGATAGAGACACTGAGGCACAGAGGTTTTTTTTGTTTGCTTGTTTGTTTTTTTTTTTTTTGAGACAGAGTCTTGCTCCATTGCCCAGGCTGGAGTGCAGTGGCATGATCTCAGCTCACTGCAACCTCTGCCTCCCTGGACCAAGTGATTCTCTGAGGCACAGAGGTTTAAATAACTTGTCCAGGCAGGGCGTGGTAATCCCAGGAGTTTGGGAGGCCGAAGCCAGCAGATCATGAGGTCAAGAGATGGAGAGCAACCTGGTCAACATGGGGAAACCCCATCTCTACTAAAAATAAAGAAATTAGCCGGGTGTGGTGGCGCGCACCTATAATCCCAGCTACTCGGGAGGCTGAGGCAGGGGAATTGCTTGAATCAGAGAGGCAGAGGTTGCAGTGAGCCAGGATTGTGCCGCTGTACTCCAGCCTGGTGACAGAGCGAGACTGCATCTCAAAACAAAGCAGAACAGAACAAAACAAAACAAAACAAAACAAAACAAAAACAACTTCTCCAAGGACAGAGAGCTAGTAAGTGATAGAGCCACGGTATCGAGCTGGTTTCCCTGACTTTGGAGCCTGTGCTCATAACCAGCTGAAAACTTCACATACACAAATAGAGAATTTAGGGGGACAGAATCCTTAAAAATACAAAAGGTTCGCTAGAATGTTCTCTAAACCCCAAATTCCCCCATAATTTCAGTAAATAAGACCTATGGCCAGGCACCGTGTGGCTCATGGCTGTAATTTTAACACTTTGGGAGGCCAAGCTGGGAGGATCACTTGAGCCCAGGAGTTCAAGACCAGTCTGGTTAACATAGTTAGGCCCTGTCTCTACAAAAAATTTTTTAAAAATTAGCTGGGTGTGGTGGCACATGCCTGCAGTCCCAGCTCCTTGGGAGGCTGAGATAGGAGGATGGCTTGAGCCCAGGAGTTCAGGTCTGCAGTGTGCCAAGATGGCACCACTGCACTCCAGCCTGGACAGCAAAGTGGGACCTTGTCTCAAACAAAAAACAAACAAACCACCATAATTTTCTTTTCTTTTTTTTAATTTATTTTGAGATGGAGTCTTGCTCTGTTGCCTAGGCTGGAGTGCAGTGGTACCATCTTGGCTCACTGCAACCTCTGCCTCCTGGGTTCAAGCAATTCTCCTGCCACAGCCTCTCAAGCAGCTGGGATTAAAGGCATGTGCCACCATGCCCGGCTAGTTTTGGTATTTTCAGTAGAGATGGGGTTTCACCATGTTGGCTAGGCTGGTCTTAAACTCCTGACCTCAAGTGATCCGCCCACCTTAGCCTCCCAAAGTGCTGAGATTACAGGCGTGAGCCACTGTGCCCAGCCCATAATTTTATTTTCTAAAATTTGTCTTAAGGAACATACATTTTGAATGCAACATATAGATTTTTGCTTTGTGGGAAGGCACACACCTAAACCTTTCACCTAGTCGGTTAATTCTGATATGATTAATTCTGTTAATAATGAACGATTGACTTATTTTCTTATTGGTTTTGAATAACCACATTCAGAAAGGAGCCTAGGCAAGGTGGTTTATAATTTAAGTATGAATCTTCTAATTACACATTTGTTTGTATATGTTCATGCATAATCAAATTGAATCAAATGGACAGCCTGAAAAATGAGATTATAGTGTTAGCATGGTAGAGCAGGAGTTGGGGGCATTCTTCTTGCATCAGCCATCAACTTGATTTATAGATGTTTTATCTCATTAACCTTTAAGTCATAGAGCTAATTAGTGGCTCTGGGAACTGCAAAACACACTTGAAGCAATCACGTAGCTCTTTAACTTCGTCATGCACCAAATTAAACTGGACCCAATTATTCCAAATCATAGAAGACATCTTTTGAAAGACTTTGCCTCCTTCATTTCAAATGGCTCACTGGGATGAATATCATACTTGATGAGAACCCAGATTTCCTCTTCTAGCTGCATGCCATATTGTGTTAAAACCATCTGAATTCTTCAAAAGTTCTTGCTTCACAAAGAGACACATATATGCATTTGGTGTGATTATTCCTTTTTGGGTAAAGTTGTCCCAGGACCCTATGGAGGGTGTCACCCTGAGGATAGCACTGCTGACCTTCCACCTGCAGCTGGGGATCAGGGCAGCCATGCTGGAACCCAGATTGTTCAGGAGGCTGCCATCTTGAAAAGGGAGATGGTCCCTTGGCACTAATAGACCTATAGACATCCTTTTGTTTTCACTTCCCTGTTCTCATTTCTGGGATAGAAGCCCTCACAAAACTGTGACAAAGACCCAGACCCTGAAGCCTGAGTAGATACAGCCTTTCTTCTCTTTCCAGCCTTCTGATGGGAGGATTTTGAACTTCTTGGCTCCCTGTTCCTTGTGGCTGAATTAAAGTAATGGCTAGGGCCAGGTGCGGTGGCTTACGCCTGTTATCCCAGAACTTTGGGAGGCCGAGATGGGTGGATCACTTGAGGTCGGGACTTCCAGACCAGCCTGTCCAACATGATGAAACCTTGTCTCTACTAAAAATACAAAAATGAGTCAGATGTGCTGGCACACACCTGTAATCCCAGCTACTCGGGAGGCTGAGGCAGGAGAATTGTTTGAACTTGGGAGGTGGAGGTTGCAGTGAGCCCAAGATTGCGCCACTGCACTCCATCCTGGGCAACAGAGCGAGACTATGTCTCAAAAAAAAAAAAAAGTAATGACTAGGATGATATGATGACAGAAATCTAACAGGCTAATTAATTTACATAAGGAAGGGCATAAAGCTACTTTCTGGATGGATAATGGGCTGGGTGCAGTTGTTGAGTGGACTTTGGGTAAGAAAGTCCACTCTCCAAGACGCTTAGTAAAGACTTACATTGTTTTTAGGGCATTTGGAGTTCAACTTATGTTTCTTTTGAATAGGACACCAAACAAGATGAACCTTCATAAGGGAGGAAGAAGGCTCAGGCTTATTCAAGTTACATTTCAAATAATTTCCTGATAGAGGAAAGGGATTTGGGCAGAAACCCCTAAGATGATGACTTACAGTGGGGTTTTCTGAATTCTCATGTTCTTAGAACAGGACTGTGAAGGGTAGGAAGCAGAGGCCTGTGGGGTGCAGTCTTATCAGATTGGGGGCCTTCACCTCCACTGGACATGTGGGTAAAGCTGAGGTTTCTTTTGGGCCTAATTTCTCATGAAGAACAAGTCCCAGTGTCAGGGGACACCAAACTTTAATTTCTTTCTTGGATTTAGTTTGAAAATGGACTAGATTGTTAACATACAGAAGAATTTTTGTGTGGGTTCTTGCTCCTTAAATGCCAAACTGATGTTCTAATGCCTTTTGACATGTCTCCTGCAGAGTGACTCAGCCCTGGCCTCATGGACCCTCCACAGGCTCTCCCTCCCTCAAGGGTGCAGGTGTGTCCCCACCTCGGATTGGAGGCCAGGAAACTAACCACAATCTCCTGGCTATGAGACCTGGCCCCTGCCTTGGAGGCAAAACAGGGTGAAATACAGGCAGGCAGGATCCCAAACCACAGAAGCTCAAGTTAGGTCATTCTTGTGAACATGACAACTCGCTGTCTCTCTAGGTCAACAAAAAGAGACATAGATCCATTTGAAAATGGACTTAAAAGACTAACAATGTGGCCAGGTGCAGTGGCTCATGCTTGTAATCCCAGCACGCTGGGAGGCCGAGGCGGGTGGATCACCTGAGGTCAGGGGTTTGAGACCAGCCTAGCCAACATGGTGAAACCCCGTCTCTACTAAAAATAAAAAAATTTAGCCAGGCGTGGTGATGGACGCCTGTAATTCCAGCTACTTGGGAGGCTGAGGCAGGAGAATCTCTTGAACCCGGGAGGCAGAGGTTGCAGTGAGCCGAGATCACATCATTGCACTCCAGCCTGGGCAACAAGAGTGAAACTCCGTCTCAAAAACAAAAACAAACAACAAACAAACAAAAAACCTAAGAATGTGCATGATTATTATTGCCATTGAGTGCCATTCCAAAGCAATTGAGAAAGTTAATTAGCTGTTCCTTTACAGAAGCCAACAGAGGTGCTAGAGGACATTTGTGCTCTCTATAGCAGGAATGTTGAGTACAAGGAGTTTAAATCACTTATCCAACAGCCAGTGAGTACAATGTTAGATTCTTGTTCCCTATTCACATGCAGCTGGCATCTTTGGGGGAACTGCACACTGGGCAGGAACCATCTTTCAAAGCCCCTGGAGAAGCTGCAGAGGCACTTGCAGGATGATCCCTCTCTGGGACAGGCTCTCTGAGACAGTTAGAAATGAAGTTGAGGTGCCGGGGGGGCAGTGACTCACGCCTGTAATCCCAGCACTTTGGGAGGCTGAGGTGGGTGGATTGCTTGAGGCCAGGAATTCGAGACCAGCCTGGCCAGCATGGTGAAACCCTATCTCTACTAAAAATACAAAAAATTAGCCGGGCATGGTGGCACACGCCTGTAGTCCTAGCTACTCAGGAGGCTGAGGCAGGAGAATCGCTTGAATCTGGGAGGTGGAGGTTGCAGTGAGCCGAGATCGTGCCACTGCACTCCAGCCTGGGTGACACAGTGAGACTCCCTCTCAAAAAAAAAAAAAAAAGAAAAAAGAAAAAAGAAATGAGGTTGAGAATCAGGATCAGTGCAGAGGAAAGAGTAATGGAAAATTACTACTCCTCTGAAATAATAATTCTTGGGAACTTTGACATGGCTGGTGTGGCTCTGAATGTGGTCATTTTTCCTTAAACATGGGATCCAGCCCAAGGCAGAAGTAGATGAATCCTTGGGAATGCACAATTACTATTCACTCAGTTCACTGTGGGAATCAAGCAAATGAAATTGCCTGATGAAAAAAACAACACTGCCTTAAGAAGCACTCTGTCATGTTCACAGTGAATTTAAAATAATTATTAGGAAAGAGGGCTTGGCAATGTGAAGAATGTCAGAAATCTTCAGCCCAATTTGTTCTTAGGGTATGATGAAAATGGATATATTTTGACTGAAATTCTAACTTCTACTCTCAGGGCTACTCAGAAAGTCTGGCTAATGGTTCATATAGGAAAAACAAACAGATTTTTTTTCTTTCCTAGACTGGTGTCCCTGAGGCTTAGGAATAATAATCAATTTCTCTAAGGCTAGTTAATAACAAACACTGTTTGTTCTTTGTAGTATCTAACATTTGCCCAACCTACTTATAGCACATGGAATTTGGACTGAACCCACAAGATACACACTGGTTGCCTTTGACCCTGGGATAGGGCTTACTGACATCTATTTTGAATGGAGGGAAGAGTGGAGTACTAGAATTGATGCTGGGTGAATTAAATTCTACCCATTATAAACCGTGTTTGAAGCAGCTCATGGGATCACTCTTATAGACCACATGAGTTATTTCTGGGCCTGGGGCTTCTCTGGCCGCCCGCATCCCCACTGGTTGGCTCAGCCCCTGGTCCTTAGAAGACCTTCCTGAGAGGCCAGTGTACCTTCTTGGCTACATTTCTCTGCAGCCTTTTAATATTCACACATGAGACAACTTAACACACTGCTGCCTCACATGGCCATGAGTTCTGTTCTGTGCCAGCATCAGGACCAATCTTGTCTTGGACAGGGGGGCTAGGAAGACCTTTGCCCTAGTAGCTAGCATCAAGTCATGATAGTGGCCAGCCCCAGGCTGGCCTTATGCTCTGGCTCCGGAAACTGGACTCTCACCTTGTCCATTCATTTGAGAAATATTTATTGAGCATCAGACACTGTACTAGGCCTACAAATAGAGCACTAACTAAAAGAGATAAAGATGTCTGCCTGGCTGGGAGCAGTGGCTCAGGCCCGTAATCCCAGCACTTTGGGAGGCCAAGGCAGGTGGAACATGAGGTCAGGAGATTGAGACCATCTTGACCAACATGGTGAAATTTCATCTCTACTAAAATACAAAAAATTGCCAGCTGCGGGGGCTCACGCCTGTAATCCCAGCACTTCAGGAGGCTGAGGCGGGCGGATCACCTGAGGTCGGGAGTTTGAGAACAGCCTGACCAACATGGTGAAACCCCGTCTCTGCTAAAAATACAAAATTATCCAGGTGTGGTGGCACATGCCTGTAATCTCAGCTACTCAGGAGGCTGAGACAGGAGAATTGCTTGAACCTGGGAGGCGGAGGTTGTGGTGAGCCGAGATCACGCCATTGCACTCCAGCCTGGGCAACAAGAGTGAAAATCCGTCTCAAAAAGAAAAAGAGAAAACAAATTAGCTGGGTGTGTGTGGTGGTGTGTGTCTAGTCCCAGCTACTCGGGAGGCTGAGGCAGGGGAATCGCTTGAACCTGGGAGGTGGAGGTTGCAGTGAGCTGAGATTGCACCACTGCACTTCAGCCTGGTGACAGAGCAAGACTCCGTCTCAAGAAAAAAAAAAAAAAAGATGTCTGCCCTTCTTTAAATTCTACTCTATTTTAAGGAACTGAATCTTTTTCTCTCATTCCCAAGTTTCAGTCTTGGTTCTCCAATCATAAGTCACTTCTTCCATAATGATGTTTCTCAAACTTTAATGTGAATACAAATCATCTGGGGATCTTGTTAAAATGCAGATTCTGGCTGGGGACAGTGACTCATGCCTGTAATTCCATCACTTTGGGAGGCCAAGGTGGGAGGATTGCTTGAGCCCCCAGGAGTTGGAGACCAGCCTGGGCAATATAGCAAGAGCCCATCTCTACAAAAAATACAAAAATTAGCTGGGCATGGTGGCAAATGCCTGTGGTCCCAGGCACTCAGGAGGCTGAGACAGGAGGATTGCCTGAGCACAGGGGTTCAAGGCTGCAGTGAGCCAAGATTGCACCACTGCACTGCAGTTTGGGTGACAGAGTGAGACCCTGTCAAAAAAAAAAAGCAGATTCTCATTCAGTAGGTCTGGGGTGGGACCTGAAATTCGACATTCCTAACAAGCTCCCAAATAATATAGTGTTGCTGCTAGCGATGCTGCCTGGATTACACTTTATTTTATTTTCGGGATGGAATCTGGCTGTGTTGCGGGGCCTGGAGTGCAGTGGTGCAATCTTGGCTCACTGCAGCCTCGGGCTCCTGGGTTCAAGCGATTCTCCTGCCTTAGCCTCCCGAGTAGCTGGGAGTATGGGCGCATGCCACCACGTCCGGCTAATTTTTGTATTTTTAGTAGAGACAGGGTTTCACTATGTTGGCCAGGCTGGTCTTCAACTCCTGACCTCAAGTGATCCGCCCGCCTCGACCTCCCAAAGTGCTGGGATTACAGGCATGAGCCACCATGCCTGGCCTGGATTACAGTTTAGTAGTCAGGATGTACAGCTAGCAGCATCAGAGAGCTTGTTAGAAGTGCAGAATCTCAGGCCTCACTTCAGACCCACTAGCTCAGAGTCTGCCCTTCAACTCGATGCCCAGGTGCTGAGAACAGTGATCTAGAACAATGACTCTCAAGGCACACGGAACATCAGGAGCACCGGTGAGCGTTATAAAGTGCCCCTAGCCGCCCCCATTCTCCACCCACTGAATCATGTTATCTGGCCATGGGCACCCCACGTGATTCTTACGGGTATCAGGTTTGAAAATATCAGAGTTTTAGGAGGACTAAAATCCTCCCAGGTTCCTGTGACATCGCAACGGAAAAAGCCTTAGGAATGATCTAGACGATCATCATCTGAGATTGTGGGCTCCTCCGAAGTTACCACACAAGTCCCAGATCAGAAACTGAGGCGGGGGCTTGCTCAGTGTCGCGTGGCTGGCAATCCGCGGCGGCCTCCGGCGCATGCGCAGTTCTTCTCTGCACGGCGGCCTTGCAGCCCCGCTTCCACCCACCGCAGGAATGCCTCTCCTTGACCGAGACACAAACCTTTTCCTCCTCCAGCCGACAGTTTCAGCCCATTACCTCTAAAACTGCACACCCTCACAGGTGGTGGACTCCCACAAATGCCACCCTCTCCCCACCCCTGTCACTGACCAATCAAGCCACACGTTTAACTGGTTGACTCTCCCCCAAAGACCGATGCTGTCAGCCTTTTGATGCTGTTTGCGGCTCCTCTTGGGGCAGGTGAGGTATGTGGGTGGGAAGGGTGTTGTCTGCTGGACTTCCATTCATCTTTCAGGAAGGCAATTAAGTTTCCTGCTTTGGGTCTTCTATTTCAGAACCTCTTCTTTTGGTGGGTTCTACAGCTTTCTGGAATGTATGTAAACACCTCCTCTCTGGGCTTACAACTTCAAGACTTCCTCATTCTTTCAAACTGGCCACTTTGTCCTCTCCCCTCCTTATCCAGATAGGTGCTGCTCACCAAGTGGAGTGAATTGAGCACACCTGGAACTTAAGAGTGTTTGACAGGGGGTTTAACCTGTCCGTGAATCCCAGTATTTTACAATCTTGGCATACGTTAGCATCTCCTGGGGAGTTTAGAAAACCCAAAGTCCAGACTACACTCATAAATTATTTTGATTTTTTTTTTTTAACAAAAATAGAGGCAGGATCTCACTATGTTGCCCAGGCTGCTCTTAAACACCTGGCCTCTAGAGAGCCTCCCACCTCAGCCTCCCAAAGTGCTGGGATTAGAGTTGTGAACTGCTGCACCTGGCCTGCACCCAGATAAATTAAATCAGAAACTCAGGGGGTAAGAAACAGGCATAAAGAGTTTATGGCCGGGTGCACTGGCTCATGCCTATAATCCCAGCACTTTGGGAGGCTGAGGTGGGTGGATCGCTTGAGGTCAGGAGTTTGAGACTAGCCTGGACAACATGGCAAAACCCCCATTTCTACTAAAAAATAGAAAAATGAGCTGGGTGTGGTGGTGCGTGCCTGTAATCCCAGCACTTTGGGAGGCCGAAGCAGGCAGATCACTTGAGGTCAGAAGTTTGAGACCAGCCTGGCCAACATGGTGAAACCCCATCTCTACTAAAATTACCAAAAAAAAAAAAAAAAAAAAAAATTAGCCAGGCATAGTGGCATGTACCTGTAATCCCAGCTACTCGGGAGGCTGAGGCAGAAGAATCGCTTGGACTCAGGAGGCAGAGGTTACAGTGAGCTGAGATGCGCCACTGTACTCCCACCTGAGTGACAGAGTAAAACTCTGTCTCAAAAAAAAAGTTTATAAAATTCCCTAGGTGATCCCATTGTACAGCCAATGTTGAGGCCCCCCAGAAAGTGCAGGTAAAATTGTTTGTGGATGGGCATAAGTGCATTTTCTTCTGGAAAAGCTAAGCCATACCTCTCAGCAGATTCTCAAGAGGTGTACAACACCCTCCTCCTTTCTTCTTCAAAAAAGGCTAAGTGACAAAACATAAGGAAGAAGAACTTGCCAATTGTTAAGGAAACACCAAATACATGTGTTAACTAAATAAATAGGCATGAGCATGCAGATCAAGAAAAGTGTCTATTGTTCTCAAGGGGACCTTTGGGGGGCCTTTGGGTGGGATGGGAAAGTCACTGCCACTCTCCCAACTAAGTGGGAAAATGGCTGATTTCAGGTGCTGCCACTGCAGAAATCTTACTTAACTCTTGAGCCTTCCTGCTGCCCACAGAACTAAGCCTGACTCCCAGCTAGAACACTGGTTCTTTCATTGCCTAGCCCCAGCCATCCTTTCTAGCTCACCTCCCTCACTTCACCCCACACTCTAGCCCCAAGAGGATGCTCAATGTGCATTTTTTAGATGCCTTTTTTTTAGGTGCCTTCCCCCAGTTCCTTCCACTCTGCCTGTCTCAGGTTGACTTGGGAGGAAGTGGGACTGAAGGGAGAGAAAATAACTCAAGGCACAGTCCCTTAGTAGAGAAGGTTCGGTCTGTATTTGTCAAAAACGTGAGTGGGATAGCAACCTTCCGTTAGTGCTCCTGCTTGGGGGAGTGGGGGAGATTCAGAAGACCTGGTCCTTGAGGGACTTAGGTCCCATAATAGGAGGCAGACCTGTGATCCAAGGCATGCAGGGAAGCTTAATGGATGCTCTGAGAGGAATCTGTGGAGGGAAGATGTGGGGTGGAATGGGGAATGCAGGGTGAGGAAAGGCTTCATCCCTAAAGAGATTGGCACCCAGCAGCCTCAGTGAAGAGAGATGGGACTGAATTAGGAGGGTGAGGCCAGATGATAGAGGCCATTGAATGCCAACTGGAGGACACCCACTACACACAGGTTGAACCCAGTTGGTGGCCCCAGCTTCACTCGTCTTGCTCCCTCAGGTAGTCTTTGCTATAATGCTAAGCCATTGAGTCTGAGGGCCTGATTTTGAAGCTGTCCCATCTGCCTGTGGTGTCTGAGCTTGTAAAGGTACCAGCTCTTTTCAGGAAGCCCCAGCTTTCTCCTGTAGCGTCTTTCTCCTTCCACTGCCCATGTTCCCAGGCCCCTGGGACAGGTCAGGGAGCCAGGATCACTGATTCTGTAGGCAAGAACAGTGGCTGTACTTCCCAATCACAAGTCAAGCAAGATGTAGGTGTGACAATGGGCTGGATGATGGGCAGCCAGGGGTCTGCCAGCACAGCAGAGGAGGAGGGGTACAGCTTCTAGATCCTCGGGTTTGAATCCCATCACTAAGTGCTGGGAATACAGTGTCTACCAACCCAATACAGATGCTGTGTATGGAGCCCTGACCCAGAGCAGATGTTCTCTTCCTCTATCTGCTTCTCCGGGCTGAGAATCTAGGTTAAACAGCTTGATCTTCTCCTCCCTGTAGCACCCCACCTCCCAAAGAGGGTGCCCCTTCTCTAAGGACTACACTTTTTCCATTTGGGCTGCCAGGATGCTCTAATTGTTATGCACTTTCCTCTAATAAGGCATAGAGGGCTCATTATGTAAATTCAAGGAAAAAAGCCCCAAATCATGAATTACATCTGTATTATAATAAACATTTTAATTAACACTTACCAACTGCCAGCTATATTAGGTATAAATAACAGGTGGATGCAACATGAACTCCTGAGGCTAGAGAGTCACTGCCTCCAGCCTACTCCTTCAAGAATTTCAAGAAATAGTTCATATGCTATCTCTTTTCTTCCTCTCCCCTCTCCCCTCTCCTCTCTTGACATGGAGACTCCCTCTGTTGCCCACGCTGGGGTGCAGTGCTGCTACCTTGGCTCAATGCAACCTCTGCCTCCCAGGTTCAAGCAATTCTCCTGCCTCTGCATCCTGAGTAGCTGGAATTACAGGCGCCCACATCTGGCTAATTTTTTTTTTTAAGTTATTTTTGAGACGGAGTCTTGCTCAGTCGCCCAGCCTGGAGTGCAGTGGTGCGATCTTGGCTCACTGCAGGCTACACCTCCCAGGTTCACGCCATTCTCCTGCCTCAGCCTCCCGAGTAGCTGGGACTACAGGCACCCGCCACCACACCCGGCTAATTTTTTTTTTTTTTTTTTTTTGTATTTTTAGTAGAGATGGGGTTTCACCATGTTAGCCAGGATGGTCTCAATTTCCTGACCTCGTGATTCACCTGCCTCGGCCTCCCAAAGTGCTGGGATTACAGGTGTGAGCCACCGCGCCCGGCCAGTTGTGTTATTTTTTAGTAGAGATGGGGTTTCGCCATGTTGGCCAGGCTGGTCTCAAACTCCTGACCTCAGGTGATCTACCCTCGTCGGCCTCCCAAAATACTGGGATTGCAGGAGTGACCCACTGCACCTGGCTCTTTTCAAAAGCAAGCTTATACATTCTCCTGGATCCTGAAACTATTGACAATACTTAAAGTTAGTTTTTTTTTTTTTGCTATTTAAACATAAATATTGACATTTGTATGGTGCCTCTCACCTCAGATTCATTCATTCAATAGATATTTAATAGATGTAGCAGGCATTGTTGTAGGAACCAGGGATACAGCAGTGAGGGAATAAGCTGAAGTTCTTTTTTTTAATTAAAAAAATTTTTTTAGAGACAGGGTTTTGCTGTTGCCCAGCATTCTGGTAGCCAAAGACAATAGGGAAATCAACAAGTACACAAGTAATACTATTAATGGCAATAAGTGCTGTAGGAAAACATAAAGAAGAGTAAGGAGAATAGAGTTGGGGGCAGGGGCATGGAGTTTAAGAACTGCTATTTGGCTGGGCTAAAGTTAAAGTGACTTTCTAAGGGACAGAACAAGGACTAGAAATCATGTTCCTTGGCTTCCAGTCTTGTGTTTTCTTATAAATCCTCTAAAGGAAATATAAGAAACCTTATCCTCTTGAACATCTGAAGCTCTTTTTTGCCAATGCAAGGTAAGGAAGGATTTCGGCACCTGGAAGGTACTCAGTAGCTGGAGTCCGGTTATGGGAAGATAAATATCAAGAATGATTAGAAGGAAAAAAAGTATTATAGGTACTAAGGAGAAGGACGGTCTTAATTTAAAAAATTGAATTGTATTGTATGGAGAGCTGATTTTTTTCCTCCTCATCTTCTTTGTGATGGCACAGAGAGCTGAATTTTCTTTAAAACAGTTTTATTACTTTTTTTTTTTTTTTTTTTTGAGACGGAGTCTCACTTTGTCGCCCAGGCTGGAGTGCAGTGGCGCTATCTCGGCTCACTGCAACCTCCGCCTCCCGGGTTCAGCTAATTTTTGTATTTTTAGTACAGGCGGGATTCCGCGACGTTGGCCAGGCTGGTCTCAAACTCGTGACCTCAAGTGATCTGCCTGCCTCAGCCTCCCAAAGGGCTGGGATTACAGGCGTGAGCCATGCGATTAAATCTTATTTCACATCTGTAAGACTTCATATGTAGATACAAATCACGGATTAGGAAAAAAATCCAAAAGTCCTGATTATTAGTTGCGAAATGAGGTTACTGACGAGGTCCTTGGTGTTAGAGGAGCCCAGGTTCCTTACAGAGCCATGAAAAATTAATGATTGCAAACTGGTAGGTCCCAATGTCTACTGGGAAAGGCATGAGTCTTTGGAGTCAGATAAAATCTAGGTTTAAATTCTTACTCTGCCACCTGGTAGTTCTGTGATATTAGGCACGTGATGTGAATGCTCTCAATCTGTTATTTGGCTTCTATGTCAGGAACTGTGCTAGGTGTTTGGATACAGAAGTTTGAGATGCAAAGGGTCCTGCCCTCCTAGAGATTGGGATAACTAAGGAAAGGTGGGGTTCTTAATGCCGAAGGGACTCAGAAGAGTGAGAGTAAGGCTTAACCAGGCGGAGAGGGAGTTGGGTCGGGGGAGGCAACATTTTAAGAAAATATGCGAGGGGCTGATACGCTGGAGCGGCCGAAGTACAATACACAGTTGTTCTTGTGGGTCTAATGCAGGTGGTTGCGATTATTTCGTGAAACAAATATGGAAAGCACCTAACGCTGAAAGCACTTGACCCAGAAATAGGAGTCAGGGCCGGGGCGCGAACCCTGAGCTGTAAATCCCTTTCCAGAATGATGAGGATTCCAACCTCCAGCACGACAAAAGCAAAACACACTCGCTCTGAGAAACCGAGGAACGAGCCAGACGACTGGAGGCAGGTTCCAGGCGGGGGGCGTGGCCTCGGGCGACTGCCGGATGTCCTCTTCCAGAACCGGGCCGTGCCCCGGAAGCAGTTGTTGTTGGTTGGGGGCCTTTTGGCCGGTGACGGAGACTGCCCAGGTGTGGTCACCATGTTCCTCTCCGCGGTCTTCTGTAAGTGGGGCTGGAGACGCCGGTAGGGGTTACGGCGAGGGTTAGGGGGCCGTGACAGGCAGGGCCCCGGAATGATGCGGGGAAGGATGTGCGAACAGGACGGGAAGCTGCAGCTGCGTACTTTTCCAGGCCTTCAGGACCACAGCGTCCGGCATGCCCCGCGGCGCGCCTCCCTGCGCGGACCTGTGGGTGCCTGAGAAGGGGTCTGCGGTGTCTGGATTCAATTGCCGTCCTCACGGACCGTTGAGTCTGGCTGTGGGGCGTTTTTCTCCAGCCCGTGTTAGGAGAATCTTTGTCCGAAGGACCTCAGAATTTGCAGCCCACCTATTTCGAACTCTAAAAATAAGGAAACCGCTCCCGAGAGGGGCAATGAATTGCCTGAGTAATGCGGCAGGGCAGTTAAAGAAGTCCTCGGGCTCCCGAGTCAGTGCTCTTCTTTACCCTTGGCTGACTTCCCAGTTAGATTTAGTATCTGGTTTTCACCACATGTGATGGTTGTTGTAATTTGCAAAGGTTAAACTTGTCAAACAAGAAGCTTGCTGCAGCGCGAATACTTGCACCTTAGAAGAGGGAAAAAATGGAGCAGGTATTACTTTAGAAAGATTTAAAAGGTAGCCAGTCCAACAGTCATGAAATTATGCAAAATATTAAATCTAGAATTGTGTTGGTCTGATTGGATCTTTTAACCTTCCTTCTATAAAATCCTAAGGGGATCCCTAATAGATAGGGAATAGTTACTTGAGTGACACCTCATGGCATATTTCATAAGTTAAATATTTTTGGTTATTACTGATATTTATATGAACTTTGCATAAGAAAGAGAATACATTTATATTTTTATTTTCTTTTCCAACCCTTCCTGTCTACAAAAAAGTTGCCAAGAGCAAGTCAAAGTAAGTAAAGATTTTTCCTTTTTTAAACGTCACTTGTTTATGTTGGATTTGTTAGTCTAGCTGCTCCCAGTACATCCTTATATGAAATTAAGCATTGGGCCTTGATTTCCTAAGAGTTGGTTTGTGGATTACTTAGTTGATTATTTTTTCTTTATGAACTCTTTCAAAAATATTTTCCCTCCTGCTGAACTGAGCTACTTCTGTGAGCATTGAAATACTTGAAGGAACCTTTGCTGCTTTTCTAGTCCCAGGATTTGTGAGCTCACTGTCTGTTTCTAAACAAACCATTGGGCTGTGCTGTATTTGGACTACCACCATATTTCCATTTCCTCAAATCGAGGACCAGGGGCCATGTGTCTGGAGCTCACTACGGGAATCCAGAAGAACAAACTCTGCTTTGATTAAATCATAGTCTGTTTTAATGAGTTTTGTAATCCTTTGCATTCATGGTATAAGCATTTCAAAAATAGCCAAGATTAAAGATTCCATGCTGTACCAGAGAGACTAGAACTACCAAACTTGTATTTCAAAATAAATGTTGTAGACAATAACAGAAGATTTTGTGGTAAAAATAGGGAGGTTCTAAAGCAGCTTTTCCTTGCAACTCAAGACATTGAAAATCCTTAAAGCTAGTCTTTTGGATTAACGTTAATGAAAAACATGTATGTTAGCGCTTTCCCTCCCAGTATCTTTCAGTGATTCACGTAGCTTTCGCCACAGTCCAGTTATTTATGTCAAAATTCCCTGCCCCAGGGATCTATAGGAATCTCTTGCCTTTGGTTTCTGTAGAGGTATATTCTGACTCTCGTTCTTTCTACCCTTGTGACATATTTCATATATGTCTTGCCTGATTGACCTCATGTACCAACTCACCTTCCATACAGTACTGTTAGCTCCTAGAGGACATAGACATAGACTTGTAGAGCTTTGTATTTCCCAGAGTGCCTTCCACAGAGTAAGTGCTTAATATTTGTTGAATCTGTGTTGAATAATTATTGTCTATCTTAATTACAAACAAATACTGTATGCCTCTTATGAGGCACTGTGCTGAATGTTGAAAGCAATGCAGTGGTGTGTAATATAGTCTTAGATGCTTCCAGGTTGTTTTGGAATTACATGAGAAATAAAATAACATGGTCTACATGGGGAGACAAGACACATGAAAAAATAACAAACAGTACAGGTATTAAAAGATCTGGTGAGGCAAACATGGACTTTCTGCTTTGGATGAGTGGAACTTAAATGAAATATGAAGGGGCACAAGGTTTTGCGCATTAGCAAACTAAAAGCTTTAGTCTCTTTATTTTGTCCCTTCCTGAATATAATCATTTATGCCCTGGAAGAGAGGGCTGTTCTGAGACAGCGATCTTTACAATTTCCTCACTAGCCAGCTGTGGTTACCAGTATTTTGATATTTTCCCCTTCCTGACTTCTGCTCCTCGTGAAGGGTGGATGTCTGAGGCTAGTCCCGCAATGTGGCTTGATTGTTCTTATTGTTTTGGTTAGGTCATTGCGAAGTAACTCTGTGTAGTGGAGCAAATCCTAGAGATTTGAAACCATTGAAACTGTTTCATGGAAAACTTAGGCTGTCTTACAACTGAACCTTTTAGGGCCAAGTGATATCTCACAACTAATATTACCCTACAGAGTTCTCAAAATGTGCCATCCCCCTGTGACTGATTTTAGTTTATTTCGTCAGCTCGTACATAACAGCGTACTTTTTAATCTTAGAAACATTCTGGTGAGAATGGTGAGCGAAGCTGGGACAGGTTTCTGCTTCAACACCAAGAGAAACCGACTGCGGGAAAAACTGACTCTTTTGCATTATGATCCAGTTGGTAAGATCTGGGGAGGTTAATGCTTCCAAGGCCTGTTGCCCCCTTTGTAGGCTGAACATCTGAACTCTCTGGAGGTGTTTTTTTAGCCTCTGACACTAGCATTCATTTAGTAAATAGGTATTGAATGATTGTTATGATGCTATTTAACATCCCAGGTGCTGGGATACACCAGGACACAAGACAAGTCCCTGTACTCTTGGCACTTAGTCTAGTCTGAGAGGGGGAGAAAAGATGACAAATTATAAGTGCTGTGAGAGAAACAATCAGGATGCTGAGGTGTAGGATGAAGTTGGAGAGTGGTAGGGAAAGTCACATTAGATGGCTAAATCAGGGAAGGTCTCTCCAGGAGGAGATAGTTAACCGAGACCTGAAGGTGAGAAACCAGCTATGTAAAGAGAATAGGTGGTAGTGTTCTGGAAACAGACAAGTGTCTTAAGAAGGGGACGGTATGGTGTCCTGGCATCATCTGTTCGACAGTGGCTAGTATTTGGTTCCTGATAGAAGTTAAAGGAATATGGTTTCTATATATTAGTGCAGTGGGGGTAGGAAATTTGATTTTTCCATTTTGTGCCATCCACTAAAATGCTGTACTATATGGTAACTTTAAATGGTCTCATTAGATGGAAGTATTTATCTAGAAGAGACAAGTGTTCCTAAGGCCATATTATCTGCTCACAAACAAAAATAGAGTCAGCACCTGATTGCTGTTGGTGGATGCCTATCCTGTTTCTGGATTTTATGTGCAGATTTATGTAAAAATAGCAAACGTGTTTTTTAATTTTAGAGCTCTGGCTGTTCATTTTGTGCTCTTTATAATTAATTTTTTTTTTTTTTTTTTTGAGATGGAGTCTCACTTTGTCGCCCAGGCTGGAGTGCAGTGGTACAATTTCGGCTCACTGCAACCTCTGCCTCCTGGGTTCAAGTGATTCTCCTGCTTCAGCCTCCCAAGTAGCTGGGACTACAGGTGTGTGCCACCACACCCGGCTAACTTTTATATTTTTAGTAGAGATAGGGTTTCACCATGTTAGCCACGCTGGTCTTGAACTCCTGACCTCAGGTGATCCACCCACCTCAGCCTCCCAAAGTGCTGGGATTACAGGTGTGAGCCACCGCACCCGGCCATTGCTTCTTAACAAGATAATGGCTATAATAACATGAGCAGACATTTTTTAAAGGCTCCAAGAAGCACAGTTGTCAGCTTAAAGTTTCTTGTGTTCCATCCTTTAACAGAAATAAAATTCCTTGCTGTTTTTATGGTGTTCAAATTTCTGTTTATTCATTATCAGAGTGAAAAGGGAATTCTAGGTCTGTATCTGATGGTAAGGAGTCTGAATTTCAGGATGATTCCTCATATGGTGGAAAAATGATGAGGTTTGCTGTTGGATTGATAAGGTTTAGAATTGGATTGGTATGTTTTTCTCCCTCTGATTTCTTTGTGTCAGCTGGTGAAAAGTCAAAGGGGTGACTGAGTAACATTCTGTGATATTTTAAGTATGAAAAAATGTATTGGGCTTTTCATCTTTAGTATGGAGGTATTAGGAACTTAATAATTGTCAGTTTGATTTTAAGTTTTGAGATTGGGAAAGGATACAGCCATAAACAGTTCTGATCATAGTTCAAAGTGGGAGAAAAGATTCACGTATAAATTTCAAACAGACGCTTAGAATTTTTCTGATAAGGAACGGTCTTAGCTTTGACAGCACAACTTTGTCTTTTCTGAAGAAGAGAATGTTCTGGGATAGCAGACTGCCTGGCTTTCTGCCCACCTGCTGAATGCCCTGCACGTGTTCGTGATGAAGATGTTTGCCTCGGGGCCTGCCCCCATTGCCCAGGGTACCAAATAGCTTGGCAGTTCTCCCAGCATGTTTTACTGTGATGAGTAAATTGTTAAGTTTGAGGACGATGATTGTTGGTCTGCTTTATGAAGGAAATAGGTAAGGAAACGTGAAAAAATTCCCAATTATTTGAGCATTTCATAATATAGTCTGTGGCAAGAAGCAGCTGCATGTGCCTATCCTTTCGAATTCCTTTTCCACGTATAAAACTAGATGCTAATTTCCGAAGAGGAAGGATTAAAGGCTGAGGCATGAGCTTATTAAACTTTCTTAAATATATTGAAGGTTTATCATAAAGAGAATGAAAACTTGTCAGTTTTAATTCCTTGGATGACTAAACAAGACAATATAGACTGTAATTGAAGCAGAATCGATTTTGGTTAGATGTAGGGAGAGAACTTGACAGATTCATTCTTCTATGAATTAAGCAGCAAATATTTTGACAGAAAATTAATTCATGTTTACAATTGTGGGTAGCAGTGTGTCATTTCAACTCAGTGTTGAGTGCGCACTATGTGTCCAGCAACAACCTTGTGAGGGAGATAGTTATCTCTCCCACAGGGAAGAAAGCAGGATAGAGTACTTTGAGAAATTTTCCCAGGGATTCATAGCTGATAAATGGTGGAGCCAGAGTTGGAACCGAGTCTTTCTCACTCAAGTCCCTGTTCTTCTATGTATTTATTTATTTAATTTTTTAAAATAGAGATGGGGTCTGTGTTGTGCAGACTGGTCTCGAACTCCTGAGCTCAAGCAGTCCGCCCACCTTGGCTGCCCAGAGTGTTGGGATTACAGGCCTGAGCCATTGTGCTTAGCCCTTCTAATTTAAAAATAGGTTTTTGGTTTTTTTTGTACAGTGTCTTCTGTGTTGCCCAGGCTGGTCTGGAACTCCTGGCCTCTACTAATCCTCCTACCTCAGTCTCCCAAGTGCTGGGATTATGGGCATGAGCCACCATTCCTGGCCAAGTCCCTGTTCTGTCTCTTACATGGAGCCAAATTAATCTAAAACTTTTTTTTTTTTTTTTTTTTTAATCAAGACCCATCCCTGTGGTCAGGCCATGGATCCCCACTGAGACTCCTATCACCAATCCCTCTACTAAACCAGATGCCCATTCCTGGTTCATTTAATCCAAATGCTGATCTGTCTTCAGGGACCAAACTTGACACTTTCCATGAGGACTTCTGTCACCATTCCTGTCCCTTTCTGACCTTTAGGTTCCTCTGGGGTTTACTGGACATTTGTGTGGGCACCTCATGATGTACTGATGTATTAAATCAGGGAGTCTTCTTACACTTTTGTAAACTCTACATTGCCTAGCACAGTTCTATGGACTTAAATATTTTATTCTTTGAGTTAAAGGAATAGGTGCAGTGAATGAATCAAAGAATTCTACTCAATATAGCCTTGCTCTACTAACCTTAATCAGTTACTCCTAGTCAGGGTCATTTAAATAGTCTCCAGATTGCTTTTCAGTGAGACAACCCCCCTACCCCCCGCCTTTTTTTAAACCAAGTTTTTAGTTCCCTGTAGAAAACCATGGGGGAAATATTTCTTGTCGTAATATAGATGAGAAACTGTTTTGGTTCTTTACTACCATCTTGTAATGCATTAATGCATTGTAGTCCTCCTTGGAGTTTTAGGAGGATCAATCCTACTTACATTTCACATGATTTGAAGTATGTTAAAAAGATCCCTTATGTACAGTGTATTAATATCATAGATAAATTCTGTTGACAGGTTAATGATTCTTAAATTCAGCTGCCCATCAATTGAGTAGTTTTAAAAAATGTAGACTTCAGTCCAACTCTAGCCCTACTAAACCAGAATTAAGGTAGGAGTGGAGGTGAGAATGGACTTACTTAGATAAGCTCATTCTTAGTCGTAGATAGCTTGGGAATCTCATATGCAGAGTATCCATATTGACTGTAGAAGAAAAAAGCTAAAATGTCTGTATGATAGGGACAAGTGAGGAATTGTTAGGTCATAGTTGTTTAAGTTCCTGGATCTTCCTTGGGTGATTATTCCATTTCTGGTGTTTTCTTGTTTTTGTTTTAGCAAAGAGGAAATAGGTAGGGGTGTGTGTGTGTGTGGGTGTGTGGGTGTGTGTGTGAGAGAGATGGAAGTTAATCGAGTGCCATAAGGCATTATAGAAATATGAAAGCCTTACTGCTCAGCATCTAGTCTTCAATCTTTTCTTTTTTTTTTTTTGAGACGGAGTTTCACTCTTGTTGCCCAGGCTGGAGTGCAATGGTGCGATCTCGGCTCACTGCAACCTCTGCCTCCCGGGTTCAAGTGATTCTCCTGCGCCAGCCTCCCGCGTAGCTGGGATTACAGGCATGCACCACCATGCCTGGCTAATTTTGTATTTCTAGTGGAGATGGGGTTTCTCCATGTTAGCCAGGCTGGTCTTGAACTCCCAGCCTCAGGTGATATGACCACCTCGGTCTCCCAAAGTGCTGGGATTACAGGTGTGAGTCACTGCGCCCAGCTAGCCTTCAGTGTTTCATCCAGGCCGGTAGCACTTTGTTTCAGAGAACTGTACTCTAATATTTACAATAATGAGATTTTGGTTATGATATTAATTATAGTACCAAACTAAAAACTCCGTATTTGGGTGTATTAACCCATCTCTGGGAAGTAGAGGTTTAGTGTCTATTACTCTTCCAGACAGCGTGGTCCACTTGGTTCTTGCTGCTCTCTTTCTGGAGTCCAGCTCCCAGTCTGTCCTTGCTTACCTCCTACAAGAGTGGACATTAATTGGGTGAAAACATTGTTTTCCATTTTTGTCCCTAGTTTTCTTTCTTAATGTGAATATTTCTTCATTGGTTGAATATGACTTGTGGCATACCAAGGATGCTGCTGATTAGCTAGTGGCCCTATAGCCATTTTCTCCAGTCTGCCCTGGCTCCTGGGATGGAGGAACTGAGTTTGCAAATCAGCTCCATCTTCATATCAAGGAATAGTAAAATAAGAGAAAGGTGAGGGCTTATGGTCTGATATGTATTTTTTATAAAAATGGCGATGATACTTAATAATTTTCTGCCACAATTTTTTTTTCTCCCTCCATAGTGAAACAAAGAGTCCTCTTCGTGGAAAAGAAAAAAATACGCTCCCTTTAAACGGTGGATTGAAAATGACTTTGATTTATAAAGAGAAGACTGAGGGCGGGGATACTGATTCAGAAATCCTGTAGCGTGTAATAAAAGAAGAGGAAATGGCATGGAATCACTGCCTCCTGTGATTTGAAGGCCATTGTGAAGGAAAACAATGCAGTGAAAGAAAGTTCTTCATATTAGGACAGATATCATTGCATCACATTTATTTATCTTTCTGGGTATTTTTATAGCCCTTAATAAAAAATATTAAAATAGCCTGTGCTATTGTGTCTTAGTGATGTTTTTCCCCACTATTTGATGTTTTAAAAATCAACCACATTACTAAAAAATAACCATTGTTCCATGTAATAAATGTTTCCATAACAACACTTATGTAAGAGTTTCCAGCCTGCTCCCTCTGTACTCAGAGAAAAGGCAGAGTAACATTCCAGAGTGATCTTGAAGAAACTCCCATGTAATAACAGAGATGGCAAGGGGGACCAGGAATGACAAAAAGAGGAGCCTTGTAACACAAACCAAGAGAACCTCTATTTCTGATTTGTGCTTATATAATTAGGAAAAATGCCACAGGCCTATATTTTCAAACCCAGATCACCAAAGCAGTATCTAGGATTTTCTGGGACAGCTTTGGATTCCTTTATTCCCTAGATTTTTCTTTCCTTTTAAAATAAAAGAAGGTATAGTGTTTCAATAAAGCCACTGCTAAGACTTCTGGGGCATGGTGGTACCACACAGCTAACTAGCATGGAATTCTGGGAGCAATCCCTAATGTTCAGATACGGACCTCTCTCCTGCCCAGAGCCATACACTTTCTCACTCAGGCTGTTGTTTCCCACAAGTTTTGAAAATTGTCCAGTTTTCTCCTTTGTCAAGTTCCCGGTTGAAAAGGATCTGCTCATTTTAAGATCTGTTGGTTCACATCCTACCCCATTTAAAGCATTTGTGTGGGAGAATGATACAGTGCCCACCCTGACTACAAAATAAGAAGTTCCTTCTCCATGGCCCAAACCTGGCTCTGAGGGAAATGTAAGAGCAGCTCTCTGGCAGTGGAATTAGAGGCAGATAGTTGATGAGTCTTAGGGCTTGTGGCCTCATGGTCAATCAGCTATTTTATGGCATCTTTTGATAAAGCTCTGGTTCAAAGTAATAATAGGTGAGATCTTGGCTCTTTTTAGGCTGAAACTGTATATAGTGTTGAGTTACAAGAAAAATCTTTCACCTGATCCTAGCTAAGCTGATGTAAAGGGTCTGTGACATGCATGAATTGCTTAAAAAAAAAAAAAACTTACCTGGTTTAACAAATGACTTACTTATTCAGCCCATGGGTTGAATGTGGCCCATAGGTGGTGGTTACTTCTTTTTTTTTTTTTTTTTTTTGATATAGGGTCTGCTTTGTCACCCAGGCTGGGGTGTAGTGGTGTGATCATAGCTCACTGCAGCCTTGAACTCCCAGGCTCATGTTATCCTCCCACCTCAGCCTCCTGAGTAGCTGGGACTACAGGTGTGTGCCACCACACCTGGCTAATTTTTTGTATTTTTAGTAGAGATGAGGTTTTGCCATGTTGGGCTCAAGCAATTCTTCTGCCTTGCTTCCCAAAGTGGTGGGATTACAGGCGTGAGCCACCATGCCCCTGTGGTGTTTACATTTAAAAAAAAATTAGTTGCTGATACATAAACATTGAAGGGTTTCAATAAATATCCAAACTTCTGCCTTCCCTTACAAAACCAGAGGCGTTGACAACACTAAGCTGAAGTTGAGTATCAGCTGCCCCTCTTAGAAAGTGCCCTTTCCCTTATTTAAGAAGAGTCTGCTCTGACTCTAGACACTGTTGTCCACAACCCCTGCCATATGGTGCACATGGGGCATTAACAATCTGTTGACAATTGAGGTTACTTGTCTTTATGTTTGTACAGATCTTGGTTGTGGAATCTTTAATTCTGGTTGTTTTGTGCAAATGCATGGAAAGCAAAAGAATCATCGTTATAAATAAATTGAAGCTTGAGGATGACTTCGTAAAAGAACTAATATTTGCAAAGAAAGGGGACGAGGACATTTTCTAATAAGCATTAGCCAGGAGCAGCCACCCCCAAGTACATTTTATTCCCAGGTATATTTATTTTGGGACTAATAGCAATCAAAACAGAGTAAGCGGAAGGTCTTTTTTGTAAGGGTAAGATGACTGTGTTCCTGCAGCCTGGACACTGACTGCTGCAATGAAATTGGATCTGTTGAGCATGTCTTCCAAGGACAGATTTGGATAGTAAGCCAGGTAGAAGGCCAGAGCTCCCACAAAGCTGTCACCAGCACCCTGTAATTGAAAGCACAGTTTTGAAGATAAGCATGTAGTCAATCTGTTGCCCAAACTGCATATTTTAAAGATATTTAAGTAAACTTAATTTTAGTTTTAGATTTACAGAAAAGGTACAAGGATAATACAGAGTTTCCACGTACTCAGACCCAGTTCTGTTAACACCTTACTGTGGTACATTTATCACCACTAAAGAAATAATATATTATTAAGTGAACTTCATACTTTTTTCAGAGTTTACTAGTTTTGCTTAATGTCCTTTTTCTGTTCCAGGATCCCATCCATCATACCATATTACATTTAATCGTCATATTTCCATAGACTCCTGTAGGCTGTGATAGTTTCTTAGACATTCTTTGTTTTTGATGATTTTTTTTTTCTTTTTTTTAAAGAGACATGGTCTCGCTCTGTTGCCTGGGCTGAAGTGCAGTGGCACAATCATAGCTCACTGCAGCCTGGGCTCAACTCCTGAGTGAACCCCTGGCTGGGCACAAGCAATCCTCCTGCTTCAGCATCCCAAGTAGCCAGGACTACAGGCATGTGCAACACTTAGCTAATTTTTAAAAATTTTAATTAAAAAAAAAAGGGTCTCATTATGTTGGCCTGCCTGGTCTTGAACTGCTGGCCTCAAGCAATCCTCCTGCCTCAGCATCCCAAATGGTGGGATTACAGGTGTGAGCCACTGCACTTGGCTGTTGTTGATGACTTTGATAGTTTTGAGGAGAACTGGTTATGTATTTTGTAGCACATACCTTAATTGGGATATGTCCGTTTTTCTTACAGGCTGTGGTTATGGTTTTTGGAAGACCACAGAGGTGAAATGTCATTTTCATCACATCATATTAAGGGCACATATGATCAACATGACTTCTTACTGATGGTGTTAACCCTGGTCACCTGGCTAAGGTAGTCTTTGCCAAGTTTCTCCACTGTAAAGTTACTTTGCTCCCTTTTTTCATGTTGTACTCTTTGTTTCTTTAATTTTAATTTTTTTTTTCATGTTGGAAAGCAAGGCATTACATGTATTCCACTCTTAAGGGTTGGGGAATTATTCCCTGAAGTTATGCTCTATCTCCTTAAGGGTGGGGTTTCTATGCTCTATCTCCTTAAGGGTGGAGTTTCTACATAAATTATTGGGAGTTCTTCTGCATGGGAGATTGGTCTCTTCCATTTATTTATTCAGTCATTTATATCAGTATGAACTCATGGTTGTTTTATTCTTTGGGCTATAATTCAATGCTATATTATTTTGTTGTTCGAATTGTTCCAGCTTTGGCCATTGGGAGCTTTTCCAGTTGGCTCCTGTGTCCCTTTGACATACGCCCATCCTTTTGGTTTTGAGTACTTTCTGGCATTACAAGATGCCCCAGGGGGCCGGGCGTGGTGGCTCACACCTGTAATCCCAGCACTTTGGGAGGATGAGGTGGGCAGATGGCTTGAGCCCAGGAGTTTGAGACCAGACTGGGCAACATGGCAAAACCTCGCCTCTACAAAAACAAAACAAACAAAATCCCCCAAGATGCTCCAGGGTCATCTTGTATAGTCCCTGCCCTAGCCCTAGAATTAGCCGTTTCTTCATTAAAAATGCACGCAGAAAGAGCTGAGAGCCATTTGATATTATTTCTAAACCAAATATAGGGACACATCAAGTTTCTTTCCATTTTCTCTGAAGCTCCAAAGATCCAAGCTGGTGAAGGCCATGGAAACAGAAAACGTCCTGAGAAAGTCTGTGGACCTGTGCCTTTGGACAGAGCAATACCTGCTCGTGTTTGTCTAACAATTGTGTTCAGGACAATTTAAATGTGACTACACAGTCTCACTTGAAAAACCATTCTTAGGCCGGGCGCAGTGGCTCACGCCTGTAATCCCAGCACTTCGGGAGGCCGAGGCGGGCGGATCACGAGGTCAGGAGATCGAGACCATCCCGGCTAACACGGTGAAACCCCGTCTCTACTAAAAATACAAAAAATTAGCCGGGCGAGGTGGTGGACGCCTGTAGTCCCAGCTACTTGGGAGGCTGAGGCAGGAGAATGGCCTGAACCCGGGAGGTGGAGCTTGCAGTGAGCTGAGATTGTGCCACTGCACTCCAGCCTGGGCGACAGAGCGAGACTCTGTCTCAGAAAAAAAAAAAGAAAAAAAAAAAAAGAAAAACCATTCTTGTATTCAACAGCTCTCAGGGTCATTTTCTTTTTTTTTTTTTTTTTTTTTTTTTTGAGACGGAGTCTCGCTCTGTCGCCCAGGCTGGAGTGCAGTGGCGGGATCTCGGCTCACTGCAAGCTCCGCCTCCCGGGTTCACGCCATTCTCCTGCCTCAGCCTCCCAAGTAGCTGGGACTACAGGCGCCCGCCACTACGCCCGGCTAATTTTTTGTATTTTTAGTAGAGACGGGGTTTCACCGTTTTAGCCGGGATGGTCTCGATCTCCTGACCTCGTGATCCGCCCGCCTCGGCCTCCCGAAGTGCTGGGATTACAGGCGTGAGCCACCGCGCCCGGCCTCTCAGGGTCATTTTCTACCTCTTCCCAGTTTGTTGTTCCTTAGACCTAAGGGCTTTCATAACAAATCTTGAGGCTATACCTCAGGCTTTTTAAAGAACCTTGGCATGCAAGATTGTTTCAGTCACAGTTGATGTATTTAATGGGCTATGTGCCCAGCACAGTGATGGGTGCTAGAAAAGGACTAAAATCCATTGTGGATTAAATGCTAAATAGTATTGCAGAATTTATAAGTACTGTTAGATTTTAAGAAGGGGTTTGAAGAAAGCGCCCCCCACCTTGCCTCTGCCAGAAGGGAGTCCTTATAGAATGAGCCAGATTTATAAAGAGAAGGCAGACCTCAAAGAATAAAGACACAGAAGGAGGAAGGACCAGAGTGAGCTCATGAGACCATGAGTGGCGTTAAGGAGAATGACATTTCCCCTTGTTTACACAGACAAAGCCATCAATATTAAACTTGCCAAGGGGTGATAGTAATGCGGTGTGAATGCAACTTTCATTCCCCCCATGAATGTTGTCTGAGTGCCTAAAATGTGTTAGGCCCTATGCTAGGTGCTTTGCAACATTTACTGGTCCTTCCTGAAGGATGCAATGGAGAAAGAGACAGACATGGTTCCTTCCCACTCTCAGTTTGCAGCACAGCAGCCAACATGGGAAAGGCCTGAAACCTGAGGAACTATGAGCTGACTGGAGGGTTATTATGAAAACATGGAAAATGCCACAAGATATGAAGAGTTACGGCAAACTCCCAGATGCCAAGTCTTGACTCCTCCTTACATTACATACAAAATTAAATTCTAGCTAAAGTCTTGAATGTAAAAAACAAAACAGTAAAATAATAAGATGAAAATTTTGATGAATATTTTTGTATAACCCCAGACGGAAAACATAAGCAAGTCAGTAAACACAAAAAGACATGAAAAAAATAACAGGTTTTTAATTTTATAAACATATTTTAAAAATTATATGTCCAAAGATACTATAAATAAAGCCAAGTGAAAAAGTACAGATTTGGTGAAAATCCTTGCAATACATGTAACATATCCTCAGTATTCAAAGAATATCTTCAGACTGCTAGGAAAAAGACAAATGTAGGATAAAAATGAATAAAGATATAGGCCTGCAATTTCAGAAAAGGAAATGTATATGGTAGGTAATAAACACACGAAAAGATGGTAATGACTAGAAAATGTGTAACGCTCGGATGGGTGCGATGGCTCATGCTTGTAATCCCAGCACTTTGGGAGGCTGAGGCAGGTGGATCACGAGGTCAGGAGTTCAAGACCAGCCTGGCCAAGATGGTGAAACCCTGTCTCTACTAAAAATACAAAAACTAGCCGGGCGTAGTGGCAGGTGCCTGTAATCCCAGCCACTTGGGAGGCTGAGGCAGAGAACTGCTTAAACCTGGGAGATGGAGGTTGCAGTGAGCCGAGATCACACCACTGCACTTCAGCCTGGGTGACAGAGCGAGACTCCATCTCAAAAAAAAAAAAAAGAAAGAAAGAAAATGTGTAACGCTCTTTGATTCAACAATTTCAATCCTGCTCCTGGGAATCTCCTACAGAAGGAAAAGCTCCTGTAATATAGGAATATAGGTACAAAGATGCTTATTGCTGCATTATTTTCAAAGGCAAAACGCTGGAAACCATCTGATTGTCTATCAAATAGGATGAATAAACTGGTACATTCTTATTATGGAAAAGTATGCAGCTATTAATGAGAAAAGTCTAGCAACAGAAGCACATACTTGGAGAAATGTCCATTAGTTAAGTGAAAAAATGAGGTTTCAGCATCCATGATCCCATTTGGGGGAAAAGAAATAAAAGAATGAGAAAGACAAATACCTATCTATATGAGCATATGTGTATTTTTTTAAAGAATATAGAGAAAAATGAAGGATATGTATCAAATTGTGAATATTTGGTTTTCTTATGTGCAAGGTACAGGGACAGTGGTCTTTTCTTCTTTATATACTTTTATATTGTTTGATTTGCTATAAGCTTATAATATTTTTCCAAAAAAGTTTCAGATAATAAGAGTATGAATAGGTTAGCCACGCCTCTGTGCCTCCCTACCTTGCACCCTGACCAGAGTGGAGGCACAAGGTGGAAAGGAGACATTCTGGCATTGCCGATAGAAATCAGGTCTACCTAACCCTCTGTTAGCTAGCAGGGTATTTTTTGGCTGCAGACAAGGTTTTTTAGAAAGTTTTAAAAATATGGCTGGGCGCGGTGGCTCATGCCTATAATACCAGCACTTTGGGAGGCCGAGGCAGGTACATCATGAGTTCAGGAGTTCAAGACCAGCCTGGCCAAGAGGGTGAAACCCCGTCTCTACGAAAAATACAAAAAATTAGCCGGGCGTGGTGGTGGGTGCCTGTAATCCCAGCTACTCGGGAGGCTGAGGCAGAGAACTGCTTGAACCCGGGAGGTGGAGGTTGCAGTGAGCCAAGACCGTGCCACTGCACTCTCGCCTGGGCGACAGAGTGAGACTGTCTCAAAAAAAAAAAAAAAAAGAAAGAAAGTTTAAAAAATATTGTACCCACACCTGAAAACACTCTTAAAATCACTTAAATTCCCTTCCACTACAGCCAAGGCCAGGGAAACACAGGGCTTGGTGGAACTGTGTGTGCTGGAAGCATTATTTAGGCAGCAACGATTCTCACAACTTGATTACCCTTCATTCTCAGGGCTACAACATGTGTTGCTTTTTTCTTTCTTTCTTTTGAGATACGGTCTTGCTCTGTCACCCAGGATGGAGCGCAGTAGTATAATCATAGCTCACTGATGCCTTTGTCTCCCAGACTCAAGCAATCCTTCCACCTCAGCCTCCTGAGTAGCTGGGACCACAGGTGTGCACCACCACACCCAGCTAATCTTTTTATATTTTGTAGAGATGAGGTTGGCCAGGCACGGCGGCTCACGTCTGTAATCCCAGCACACTGGGAGCAAGACCAGCCTGGGCAACGTCGTGAAGCCCTGTCTCTACAAAAAACATAAAAATTAGCTGGGCACTGTGGTGTGTGCTTGTAGTCCTAGCTACCTGGGAGGCTGAGGCAGGAGGATCACCTGAGCCCAGGGATGTCAAGCCCGCAGTGAGCCGTGATCATGTCACTGCACTCCAGCCTGGGCGAAAGAGTGAGATCCTGTCCAAACAAACAAATAAAACAAATAAATAGCCAGGGTCTTCCCATGGTCTCAAACTCCTGGGCTCAAGGGATCCTCCCGCCTTGGCCTCCCAAAGTGCTGGGATTACAGGTACGAGCCACTGTGCCTGGCCTACACACTGTGTTGATAGGGAATAGAAGATAAGTCCTTCCTATATTAAAAATAAGGGGTTCCCAACAAAGAAAACTCTAGACTAGATGGCTTCGCTGGATAATCCTTGCAAACATTTAAGTGAGAAGTAATCCTAATTCTACACAAATTCTTTAAGAAAATAGCAGAGCCAAGGAAACACTATAATGCTAGTGTCACCATGATACCAAAACCAGACAATGACATTGCAAGAAAACAAGATCAATACCCTTTGTGAATATAGATGTAAAAACCTTAACTTTTTAAAGCAAATTAAATAAATATATGTGTGTGTATATATATATATAAAATATCTGATAATGCATCATGACCAAGTAGAATTTATCCCAGGAATGCAAGATTGGTTTAACATTTTAAAAAATCAGTGTAATTCAGTAATATTAAAAACCTTATGATTATATCAACAGGAGCTGAAAAAGCATATGACAAAATTCTACATTCATTCATGATAAAAGTTCAGCAAATTTAGAAATAAGGTGTAACTTGATCTTCTTGATAAAGAGCATTTATGAAAAATCTACAGCTAACATCATACTCAACCAGAAAGACTGAATGCTTCCTCCCTAATATTGGGAACAATCAAAGATGTCTGTTCTCACTACTTCTACTCAACATTGTACTGGATTGCCTAGCCAGTGCAAAAGGACAGGGGAAAAAAAAGAAAGAAAAGGCATACAGATTGAAAAGGAAGAAGTAAAACACTTTTTCTTTGTAGATGACATAATGACCTACGTAGAAAATCCTAAGAAGTCCAGCCAAAAAGCTACTAGAAATAGTAGGTTTAGCAAGGTAACGGGACACAAGGTCACTATAAAAAACCAACTGCAGCCAGGCGCGGTGGCTCACGCCTGTAATCCCAGCACTTTCGGAGGCCGAGACGGGTGGATAACAAGGTCAGGAGATCGAGACCATCCTGGCTAACATGGTGAAACCCCGTCTCTACTAAAAATACAAGAAAAATTAGCTGGGCATGGTGGCAGGCACCTGTAGTCCCAGCTACTCGGGAGGCTGAGGCAGGTGAATGGTGTGAACCTGGGAGGTGAAGCTTGCAGTGAGCCAAGATCGCATCACTGCACTCCAGCCTGGGTAACAGAGCGAAAAAAACCAATTCTATTTCTATATGTTAGCAATGAACAAGAACTCAAAGTTATCAAAACATTTGCAACAGCATTTTAAAAATGAAGTATTTAAGGCTAAATTTAACTGAATATGTGTAAGATCTATCCACTCTTGCTATGGAAAGTAAAAGAAAAATTAAAGAAAAACAAATGGTGAGAGTTTCAAGGACTGGAAAACTCAATATTCTTAAGATATAAATTCTCCCCAAATTGATCTATAGATTAATGCAATTCCAATAAAAATCCCAGCTGCCAACTATTGTAAATTAATAAACTGATTTTAAAATGTATATGTAAATGGAAATGACCTAGAATAGCCAAAACAGTTTTGAAAAAGAACAAAGTTTCCAGGCTTACCATAAGCTACAGTAATTAGACAGAGAGATACTGACATAAGGATAGACACGTAGCTCACTTGATAACTTGATAGAAGAGTCCAGATACAGACCCACAAATATATGGTCAACTTATTTCCAACAAAGGTATAGGTTGAGTATCCCTTATCTGAAATACATGGGACCAGAGATGTTTTGGATTTCAGATCTTTTTTTTTGGATTTTTGGAATATTTGCATTATACTCACTGGTTGAATATCTCTTATCCACAAATTTGAAATCCAATATACTCCAATGAACATTTCTTTTGAGGATCAGGTCGGCACTAAAAAAATTTCAGATTTTGAAGCTTTTTTTTTTTTTTTTTGAGATAGGTCTCACTCTGTTGCCCAGGCTGGAGTGTGGTGGCATGATCTTGGCTCACTGTAACCTCCGCCTCCTGGGTTCAAGCAATCCTCCCACTTCAGCCTCCCAAGTAGCTGGGAGTATAGATGTGTGCCACCACACCTGGCCTTTTTAAAAAATTTTTTTTGAGTCAGAGTCTCACTCTGTAGCCCAGTTTGGAGTGCAATGGTGCTGTCTTGACTCACTGTAACTTCCGCCTCCTAGGTTCAAGCAATTCTCCTGCCTTAGCCTCCCAAGTAGCTGGGATTACAGGCATCTGCCACCACGCCTGGCTAATTTTTGTATTTTTAGTAGAGATGAGATTTCACCATATTGGCCAGCCTGATCTCGAGCTCCTGACCTCGTGATCCACCCGCCACGCCCTCCCAAAGTGCTGGGATTACAGGCGTGAACCACCATGCCTGGCCAGCTGATGTGTGTGTGTGTGTGTGTGTGTGTGTATAGAGTGTGTGTGTGTGTGTTTGTGTGTGTATATATATATATATGTATATGTGTATATATATATATATATATATATGTATATATATATGTAGAGAGAGAGAGAGAGAGAGAGAGAGAGAGATGTGGTTTCACCATGTTGCCCAGGCTGGTCTTGAACTCCTAGGCTCAAGGGATCTACCTGCCTTGGCCTCTTGAAGTGCTGAGATTACAAGTGTGATTACAGGGATGACACTGCACCTGGCCCATGATTTTGAAGCATTTTGGATTGCAGATTTTGGATTAGGGAAACGCAACCTGTACCCAGTAATTCAATGGAGGAAAGGGCAGTCTTTTAAACAAATGGTTCTGGGACAAATGGATATCCATATGTAAGAACACAAACCCTTACCTCACACCATAGACAACAATTAACTCAAAATGGGTCACAAACCTAAATGTAAGAGTTGAAACAACAAACTTCTAGAAGAAGACAGGAGAAAAGCTGTAACCTTGTGCTAGGCAGATTTCTTAGGACACCAAAAGCACAAAGATTAAAAAACCTGATAAACTGAAATTTATCCAAATTTAAAGCCTCTGCCCTTCAAAAGAATATCAAAAGATAAGCCATGGACTGGGATAAAATATTTGCAAAACATGTATCTAGTAAAGTACTGTTATAACTCAATAATACAATCCAATAAGACCAACAACACAATAAAAATGGGCAAGAGATTTGAACAGAAGCTTCATCAAAGAAGCTTCATCATGCATATGCCAAATAAGTATATGAAAAGATGCTCAATATCATCAGACACTAGGGAAATGCAAATTCAAAACACAGTGAGATGGCATTATATACCTAGTACAAAGACTAAAATGTTTAAAGCTGAAAGTACCAATGGTTGGTGTAAATGTGGAGATACGAGAAGTCTTATTCATTGCTTGTGGGAATGCAAAATGATACAGACACTTTGGAAAATAGTTTGGCAGTTTCCTAATAATGTTAAACATATATTTATAAAACCCAGCAATTCTATTCCTAGCTATTTATCCAAAAGAAATGAAAGTATATGTCCACATAAAGACCTACATGTGAATGTTTACAGCAGCATTATTTATAATCACTCCAAATTGGAAACAATCCAGATGTTGTAGAACTGAAGAATGGATAAACAAACTGTGGCACATCCAGACAAGGCAATACTACTTAGCAATAAAATGGAAGGAACTGCTGATAAAACAGCATGGATGAATCTCAAAAGAATTATGCTAAGTGGGAGAAGCCAGGCACAAAAGACTACATATCATATTGTATGAGTTTTGTGATGGTGAATTTTACGTGTTAACTTGACTAGGTTGAATGATGCCCACATAGCTGGTTAAACATTATTTCTGTTTAATAGAAATAATGTTTCTGTGTCTGTGACAGTGTTTCTGGAAGAGACTGTCATTTTAATTTGTAGACTGAGTAAAGAAGATTGATCCTCACCAATGTGGGCAGGCATCTTCTAATCTGTTGAGGGCGTGGATGGAACTAAAAGGCAGAAGGGCAAATTCTTTCTCTCTCTCCTTGAGCTAGCACATCTATGTTCTCCCCTCTCCCTCAGCACACTAACTGGGATCTCAGGCCTTTGACCTCAGACTAAATTGTACCCCTGGCTTTCCTAGTTCTCCATCTTGCAGATCGTGGGCCTTCATGGCTTCCATAACTGCATGTGTCAATTCCCATAATAAATCTACACACACACACACACACACACACACACACTAAATATACATATACATATACATATACATATACATATACATATACATATACATATACGTATACATCTCTCTTCTTGGTCTGATTTCTCTGGTGAACCCCAACTAATATCAATTCATTTATATGAAATCCTAGAAAAGGTAAAAATGTGGCAACAGAAAGCAGGCCAGGGGCTGGGGAGTACTGACTGCAAAGGAACTGCACAGCAACTTTCTGGGGTGATGAAAATACTCTAGGTTATGATTATAGTGGTGATTAAATGACTGTATACATTCATCAAAACTCATTGAATCATGTACTGAAAATGGGTAAAATCTTATTGTATAAAAATTATATCTAATACAACTTATTTTTTAAGAAGGCAGAGGGGTGGGTATGTGTATTGAGTTATACAGGAATGTCAGGTTTGAAAACCTTGACAGTTACTTCCTGGGTTTACTATTGATTTACTCCAAAGCGTGTGGTTGAGATAATTACTGAGATTTACTGTGGGCCATGCTTAAGTGTTTTGATTGGCATATGGGAAGTTACTTGTCCTTATATTGAGAGCTCCAATTCCACCTCTGCTCTTCCAGTCTAAAGATTTCTTTCTTCTGGCAGCGTGGGCTTTGGAGTAAGATAGACCTGTATGTGAATCTTGGCCTCACCACTTACTAGCTTTATGACATTGGGGAAATTAATGTAAATTCTCTGTGACTTTGTTTTCTTATATATAAAATGAAGTTATTAACATCTCTCTCATAAGGATTTTGTGAACATTAAAAAACAGCTCAACTTTCAATAGAAGAGAGAAATTAAAAAATAAAAGCTAAGCAACTGTTAGTTCTTTCCTTTCTGACCAAAAGCATTTCTAGTCTTTTCCCTAATTAAAAGTTGATGGCTTTGCTTCCACTGAATCTATCATCCCTTGGTGCTCAATCTTTTTACCTAAAATCAATGAACAGAACTCTTAACACATGTCGTTTCTTCATTTATTTTTCCACTTCCTCCCTTGACCTCCCTTGCTCTTTTGCACACCCTCCACGCAGACTGGGCACGTTCACTTCACTGCTGGTTCACACTCTGACCTTCTCCCACTCCTTCTTGCCCTGCCAAGTCCCCCTTTCTCTGTGTCTAGTTTGGAAGCCATTGATCCTGCCAGTCTTCTTTACCTTTTTGGGCCTTCATTCAAAACCCTTTGCTGTCTTTAAGGCCCTGCTCCTTTATGATATCTTCCCAGAGTACCTCATTTTGCCAGAGTTACTCAAAACACTTCAACAACCTATGTGCTTAACCCAACAATTCCTATAAAAGGTCAGCATTCTATTTCCTGTTGGCCTTGCTATAGAGTGGAGCATAGATTAAATGGCCAAACCCACATCAGGAAAGAGCTCTGGCTGCAATTAGGTTGACTCATCCACAAAATGCAAAAGCAATTTACTTAAAGGATTCTGAAAATAGATAAACTGTTAACAGTCACATTAAATGTTATTAAGAATCCACAAGTCTATACTGATATAAAATAAATAAATATACTGGAGAAAGAAAAATTCTTCCTTACAGTAGAATGCCAGCTAGTAAAAACCTTTAAAAAGTCACTATTCTGCAACAATCATAGTGCTGTCTGATTCAGGAAGGAATCATCAATGGAGGCATTAACACTGCTGGGTAAAGGTAGGATGAGGGTAGGATATTTACAAGTTATAAATAATCCCCCCACAGATTATGTATTAATTACAGAGGCAAAAAGAGTAACTGTACACTTGAGAAACCTGCTAGGCACCACCTTAACCAAGTGACCAACAGTAGCATCACCAATAAGAAGACAAACTGACACCACTGCTCCCTGATGTGGGGCCTGGAGAAGGACACAAGGTCACGGATGTAGTATTCCTGCCTCAAATGCGTAAGACAGACCTAAATTGACATACATTCTACAAAACAATGAGCTTGTGCTGTTCAAAAAATATCAGTGTCATGAAAGACAACATAGTTTAAGAACCTGTTCCATATTCAAGGAGACTAAAGTAACACGTAGTCTTGGATTGGATCCTGAACCAAAAATGATAAAAAACCACTATTGGGACATTACAGGACTGTACATATAAGATTATCTCCATGTAAAACTTCTTGAATTTGATAATTATATTGTATTTTTGTTATGTCCTTTTTTTCAGGAGACATATCCTGAAGTATTAAGAGGTAGAATCATGATGTCTGTGACTTACTCTCAAATAGAAAAAAGGATGATATTGATGTATTTTGAGAGAAAGCAATAAAACAAATGTGGCAAAATGCTAATATTGGGGAAACTAGGTGAAGAGTATATGGGGCTACTGCAAATTTTCTGTAAGTTTTACTTTTTAAAAATAAAAAATTTTATTAAAGAAGTTTTGGGGGCTGGGCGCGGTGGCTCATGCCTGTAATCCCAGCACTTTGGGAGGCCAAGGCTGGCGGATCACCTGAGGTTGGGAGTTCAAGACCATCCTGACTAACATGGAGAAACCCCATCTCTACCAAATACAAAATTAGCCGGGCGTGGTGGTGCATGCCTGTAATAACAGCTACTTGGGAGGCCGAGGCAGGAGAATCGCTTGAACCTGGGAGGTGGAGGTTGTGGTGAGCTGAGATTGTGCCACTGCACTCCAGCCTGGGCAACAAGAGCGAAACTCCATCCCCCCCACAAAATAATAATAATAATAATAATAATAATAATAATAATAATAATAAAGAAATTTTAAAAATCCCAAGTGTGAGAAAGAAATCAATATCAGTCACTCTTTGTGAATTTGCAAATGGGCCAATTTCTACCCCTGAATGATTTCTCTCTTTCTTTTTAATTAAGTGGACATCTGCTACAAATCGGGGTAGACTGAAGTGAAGCTCTTTCCCACACTTGGGAATACCCACCTCATTGAGGCAGTTTCCGTTGTAACCATGAACTAGACAATGACACCCCCATGAAACAATGAGAGGACTGGGAGGAACACTTTCGTTTTTTTTTCTTTTTTTTTTTTTTTGAGCTGGAGTTTTCGCTCTTGTTGCCCAGGCTGGAGTGCAATAGCACGATCTCGGCTCACTGCAACCTCTGCCTCCCGGGTTCAAGCAATTCTCCTGCCTCAGCCTCCCAAGTAGCTGGGATTACAAGCGTGTGTCACCACGCCCGGCTAATTTTTGTATTTTTAGTAGAGACAGGGTTTCAACATGTTGGCCAGGCTGGTCTCAAACTCCTGACCTTGGGTGATCCGCCTGCCTCGGCCTCCCAAAGTGCTGGGATTACAGGTGTGAGCCACTATGCCCAGCCCAGGAGGAACACTTTTTAGCTGTGACATTGATTGCCCAAAAACAAAAAATTGAGGACTGGGATGTTAGTGGCAGTCCTGTTGTGATGGTATCCAGCGCCCTGTGCCAAGACCACCACTGGTTTCTTCTGTTTTCAACCAAGAACCATGACAGAGGCAATCTCCATGTGTTAAACTCTTACGAGAGGTCGGAAATCTCGTCCATGTCTTTCCCTGCTGACTCCTTAGAGTTTTACAATCCCTTAAAAGTCCTGTGTGTTCAATTAATGCTTGCTGATGGACCGTCTCTCAGTTGCCCCAGTCTCCACCTTCTCACCAGATGTGAGATGCAGGGGTTCTGTGTTTTTCTGCACAAAGAGGGCAGCAGTTGGACTACTGAGCCCCAAACCACAAAGAAGCAGGGAGGCTCCTGGCTGACAGGGGCCTTCGGGTCAAAGACAAGAAGGCTGATCTGAAAAGTCACATTACATCCAACAGTGGAAAAACTCTTTGAAATTTAAACATAAAAGGGGCAGAAAAGGCCTTGTACTCTTTACAGAGGAGTGGAAGGGTAAGGAAGAGAGTGAACTTTTACTGTTTGCTCCTCATCAAGAGGCAGCAAAGCCGGGTATTTATATACACACACACACAACATTGACCTCATTTCATCTTCACACTGACCCTGCACTCCCCCGCCACTGAAACTTGAGGGAATTGAGTCTCAGAAACATCCAGTCATTTGTCCAGAGTCACAGAGCTGGTAAATGGCAGAGCTGCACTTTGTACCCAGACCCAGTGATTCCGCTCCCATCCTGTTTCACCACCCAGTGAAGGTTTGGGGCAAGCAGGCAAAGAGGGAGGGAAAAAGGAAGGAAATCAAGCTGAAAAGAGTCTCCCTCCCTTTTGACATCCTGTAATCCCTTTGTATTTCTCTTAGGACTCTGAGTTCATTGTGCTGAACGTTTTCTGTACAAGCCTTCGCTCTGGGACAATCTGAACTCTCTTTAGGGCAGGGACTACTTTTCTGTCCCCTCTGTTTCTCCTGCTGCCTTGTCCCTTGCTTTGAGTTGACCTGACTTATTGGTCCTGGTTCTATCATGTTCTTCTCTTCCCATGATCTCTTCTAAGGTGACCAGATGGCCCTTGCTGAACTACACGTGACTTTCTTTTGTGTTAGTGAAAATGAAGGTTAGGTTGCCATGGCCCAGAGTTACTTGACATTCTCATTGTTGAATCTATTTATACCACAAAGCTTTCAAGTGCCAATAAATTACTTGGCTGTTGATTCACATCTTCGGTATAACTATTTTTATACACTGGTATGATTTTTTTTTTAAACGGAAAGTGCTTTAAAAGTAGGAGCTGTATTGTATCACTGTGATTTTCCTGTAAGTCAAGTACTTTCCAGTCAATCATTCTTGGAATAATGAAATAGTTCTCATTGATACAACATGATGGTTTTAACCTTTTACTGAAAATTATTTTTGTGCCAAAAGGGGTGATGGCATAATTCATCTTCCTTCAATATAATACCCATGTGGCTACTACCCTTTGCCTTCTCACAGTGATTTCCTCTTAAGGAAGAGCTGCTCTTATAGAGTGGGTGTGGCATCTGAAACCCCTGCCTTCCTGAGGTCCTTGACACTTCTGGGTTCTGAGTTCTAGTGGTGCCCATTGAGGAAGCTGGGGAATCAGGGAAGCGCAAGGACAGGAAAACTGGCCCCATGGAATACCTGAGCCTTCTAATGGGGGTGGGAGGGGTGCCGGTGGGGAGGGTTGAGGATTTAGCAGGGCTGGTGAGAGATGACACTCATGAGCAGCTGGCGAGATGACCCCAAGGGGAGAATCTGAGAGGCAGGAGCCCCTGAGGCAGCGCCTGGAGCTGGGTATGGGTCTGGGTGGGCAGCCTCTGCTGCTAGGGCTCGAGGCAATGTTGCCATAGGGAGGCTGGTTTCTTATTTCCCTTCCCCTCCGTTTCAGACAATCCTGTCTGTCCATAGCTGCCTCACTCCTCTCTCCCTCCCATTGTCCCTTGCCTGCCTGGGCCCTTGACTATGGCCATGGGTTAGTTCCTTCACTGAAGGTACCTGACTCATGTCCCTGCTTCTTAAGGCTCTGCTCTCTAATAAACGCTGTGGAGCTGGCATAAATGTGTGACATCCCCAGCAGAGCACACTTCCATGTTAATCTGAGTCTGCTGGTCTGCGATAGCTTTTGTTTTGAGGCTCTGCTCAGAGTCAGGCTCTCTGCTGAGTGCTTTCCAGGTTATGGCCTTTGTTTTCATCAGAACCCAGGGGAGGTAGGCTTATTTGGGGCTGCGGTGTGCGATTAGGCAAAGTGGCATTGCGCAAGGGTGCCCAGCTGAGGGCTGAGAGTGGGCTGTGGGCCACGGCCAGCTCACCAAGCTGTGTGCCTAGCAAGAGGGGCAGCTTCTTCTATAATAATTTGCACAGGGTGTCACAGACGCCAGCAGCAACCCTGGGCCATCTTTATTTTACGCTGAGGAAACTGGGATTCAAGGAGGTTAAATCTCTTGCCCAGTGTAAAGAAAAGGTGGTAAATGGCAGTTGAGATTTGTACCAAGGTCATCTGTGCAGGAATTCAGCAGCAGAGCAGATGGAGAAGCTATTTTGGGGGAAAGAGACTGCCCACATTTTCCCATTTCCCCATGGGAAGGCTTATGTTTTCCATAGTGATGAAGAAATACAGGGATGGAAGAGGGAAGGCCATGAAGCTCCAGTGAGGCTCCACTGCATGGGGGGTCCATTTTCCTCTGTGTGCTTGTGGCAGGAGCAGAGAACATGAACTAGCGTTGTCCTGGGCAGGTGTGGGAGAGGAGCAGGGGTACAAAGGAATCAAAGGTTTCAGGAAAGAATATTTCAGATGAACAGTCGGAGAGTCTGACCTGGATCAGGAAAGAAGAGAGGTCAGGAGGGGGTCAACAGGCAAGGAGAAAGTACAGGGAACTAAGACAACTGGGAACGGCGTAGAAGAGTTGAAAGCCAGGGGCTGCTCAGAGAGGAGGATGTGAGGTTTTACCGGAGAACTGAAGTGGTTCCAAGGAGGTACTAGCAATGTCCTGGAGGTTGTCATGGGAGTGGGAGGCTGCAGTGGAGTGGAGGTGAAGAGTCACCAGAATAGAGGGCATCTAGGAGCTATGAGACTTGGTAATGGTTCATCCTCATGGCACTGAAGTCATCCCACATCATGACAGCATTGGGACAGAGAGAAAAATGGTCATGTAGGCGCCCAAGTCCTAGATAAACAGACATGGAGCAGGAAAGGAAGTTGGGGGGTATGTAGCCATACAGTTTCAGCTGCTATGAATATAATGGGTCCTAAATCAGTATCTTTAGCCCAGACTCTCCTCTGTCTTTGGATTTGTGTATCTAACCACCCGTGAGCCTGCTTAACCTGGCTCATGTCTCTTGCAGGCAACTCTAACTCAACACGGCCGAAATGAACTCAAAACTCTGCCTTAACATGGACCTCTTCTTATCTTTTCAGCTTGTGGCACCTCCACACTGAAAACCTGGGGGTCTCCTGGGCATCTCCTTCCCATATACTTCATCAATCACCAGTTGTCGAGTTTAAATCCTAAATGTTTCTCAAATCTGTCCTCTTGTCTCCACTCCTACCCCCACTGCCCCAGTAATGTTCACATCACCTCACAGGGTCACATTAACTTCCAAGCCAGTCTCCCTGCCTCCGGTCTGGACCCTTCCAGCCCATCCTCTACACTACTGCAAATCTGTCCACGTGGCCCCCGTGGCATCAACTTCTTAACATGGCACACGAGGTTCCCTAAACCACTTTTCCAGTTTCATCTCTTACTTCCTCCTATTCACTTAAGGAACTTACTTCTTCCTATTCACTTACGGGTCTCAGTACATGGAGACACCTCGGCTTGGACTTTTCCCTAGACTAACTCCTATACTCATTTTTGGAGACTCAGCTTGGGTATTAACTTGGCCATCACATATTTATTGCCTAGCACTATGTTCAAAGCACTGTGCTGTCCCGGAAACCACCAGTCTCAGGCCCTCTGGCTGCCCCCTGCCCTCCCCTTGAGGGTAGCACGCCTGTCTTCATCACCTCCCTGTCCTGAGACCTAGTGCAAGGCCTGGACCATAGCTGAGGTAGGCACTGACCGAACCAAGAACTGTCAGGAGGATGGGTGCTGAGCGATGAGGTGAGGAGCACACACTGTCCCAGGAACGCCCTGTAGGAGGATGACAATGGAACAGATGCATGAAAGTTCTGGTTTGCCAAATTCCAGTTGATAGAAAAGGGGACAAGTTGGAGGAAATGATGGGTATGAAGTGTAGCTGGGAAAAACCCCCAAGTGATGAAAGTCTCCAAGGTAAGATCTTGTCAGGCAGCTCTAACAGATTCCAGACAATCTTGCAAGAATGACGTCACTACCAAGCTTCACTTGTTAGGAATCCGTACCCACGCTGAATGAGTCACTACCCAAACTGCCGAGGGACCCTAACAGTTACAGCGCGTGCATTCCTCCCCGATGTCTTCATGCATTCCATCTCACAAGTAGATGCCACTTTCTTCTCTTTTCAAAACCTCTCCCTACACAAAGCTATTCAGAGCCTACACTGTGGACATGAATTCCTCAGCCATGCTTGTGGTTTTAGAAGCCAGGGAAAAGCAAATGGGATGAAACATGACTAAATCATAAGTCAATGCATTATTTCTTAAAAAAGAATATTGCCAGGGGTTCAGGAAAGGGAGAGAGGGCAAATGTAAACCACCAGGGTCTCTGTTACCTCCCACCACCATACTGGGGCCACCAGATTCCACCAACAGGGTCAGCCTTGCTGGCTACACTGGGTTTAGGTCAGAATTTCTTCAAGGGAGAGTGTTTCAAGGAGGGCTGCGCCAGCTGCTGAGATGGCTCATACTTAGGCTGGCCCAGGGGCCAGGCTTGCTCTGCGCTCTCTTCCAAGTTCTAAAAATGGGGCTTCTGCCTTGTTCTTGCCTGCAGGAGGCTGAGGCGTGAGTATCTAGCTGACTGGGCCTGGGAACGTAAAAGTCATTCTTTGTCCTCCAAGGGTTAATCACTGACAGGCAGGAGATATGGGTGTCATATGTACCTGGTTTTAAGTCCTGCCTCTGCCCCTTGTTGTTAGGTGTCTTTTTTTTTTTTTTTTTTTTTGAGATCGGCTCTTGCTCTGTCACCCAGGTTGGGTTACAGTGGCGCGATCACGGCTCACTGCAGCCTCAACCTCCTGGGCCCAAGCAATCCTCCCACTTCAGCCTCCTGAGTAGCTGGGACTACAGGTGCAAGCCACCACTCCTGGCCAGCTCTGTCATCTTTTAAGAATGGTAAATTCACTGTCTTTTCACTGGCAATAAAGGTCTTGTGTCATTTTTATTTCTATTCATACAACTGGAAAATGTTTTTTTCAACTGGGACAATGCAGTAAATGGTTTGGATTTCAGACAGACCTGGGTTTAAGTCCTAATTTCACCACTTACTAGCTGTGTGACCTCTGGCAAGTCACTCAGCTTTTCTGTGGGTTTATTTATCTGTACAATGGGAACTTACCTCATAGGGCCATTGTGAAGACTGAATTAAGTAATGTATGTGAAAAGGCTTAGCACAGTGCTTGGCACAGAGCAGGTGTTCAACAAAGGTGAGGCAGACAAAGATGGTATTATCTCAGTGGCCCCTTAAGTTGCTCAAGTTTTTGGCAGAGAAAGCCCATGACCTAGGTCAGAGGGGGCCAGACAAGGCTTCTAAGAAACAAAGTAGGTCACCATCCTAGGGCACAATCCATAGGATTGTGAGACAAGGGGTTTATGCTGTGACTGGCTTTATGTTTCCAGCTCACAGTAGAAGGATAAAGGCATCCAGGAATGCACTTGGAGCCAGGAAGAGGTGAAGGCCAGTGTCCTGTGGCCCTTGTTTATGAGGGATGCCAGGCTCCAGAGAGTTCCAGCCATGGTCAACATTGTGTGCTGGGGTCTCTGAAATCCATTCCCCATGCTTTCATTTGGGGAGGACGTGCAGAGGGAGAACACTGAGAGAGGCGTCTGGACAGAGGCCTAGAGCTGGGGCGGGTAAGGCTGCAGGACAGGATGGGAACAGGGTTACTGCTGGCAGGGACAGCCTGCACTTCCTCAGTAATGCCAACTTGATGGAGCATTCCACTGTCTACCACAGCTAGCCGGCCACTGGGCAGAGGGCTGCCACCCATGGAGAGGAGATGTAGCAGAGGCTGGAGGACGGGGCAGGCAGGCTGAACAGATGGTGCAGGAACAGTGTGATTTTGGAGGACGTCTCTAGCAGGGCAGTGCTGGAACCTGAGGTCAGGGCCTATCCTGATTAATGATGGATATAGGGCCACCTGACCTACTTACTCCATGTCATCAACCTCGCCACTCAGAGTGAACAGAAGGGCCCTGCCTACAGCCTTCATTTCATCCAGGGCATGCATTCCCAACTGGGGCTATATCTCCCCGAAAGGGGTCAAAATCCATTCTTGGTGGCAGTGCGTGAAAAAAATCTTAGATATTACACAAATGCTCTCCAAAGGGCCACAGTATACACACACACACACACACACACACACACACACACACACACACAAGCGGTCCCAACTTATGATGGTTCGACTTATAATTTTTCAAGTTTATGACAGTGTGAAAGTGATACATATTCAGTACAAACTGTAATATAATGTTTGGTAGGTGTGTTAGGCAGTTCTTGCATTGCTATAAAGAAATACCTGAGGCTGGCTAATTTATAAAGAAAAGAGATTTAACTGGCTCATGGTTTTGCAGGTGTACAAGCATGGTGCTGGCACCTGCGTGGTTTCTGGGGAGGCCTCAGGGAGCTTTCACTCATGGTGGAGGACGAAGCAGGAGCAGGCATGGCACATGGGGAGAGCAGGAGCAAAAGAGAGTGACGGGGAAGATGCCACGCACTTTTGTTTTTGACACAGGGTCTCACTCTGTCACCCATGGCTTACTGCAGCCCCAACCTCTGGAGCACAAGCCAGCCTCCTGTCTCAGTTTCCCGAGTAGCTGGGGAAAAAAAAAAAAAATATATATATATATATATATATATATATATTTTTTTTTTTTTTTTTTTTTTTTTTTTAGAGAGAGAGTCTTGCTATGTTGCCCATGCTGGTCTTGAACTCCTGAACTCAGGCAATCCACCTGCCTTTGCCTCCCAAAGTGTTGGGATTATAGGTGTGAGCCACTGTGCCCCACCACCATACTTTTAAACAACCAGATCTTGAGAGAACTCACTCACTATTTTGAGGAGAGTGGCAAGGGGATGGTGCTACACCATTCATGAGAAATCCACCCCCATGATCCAGTCACCTCCCACAAGACCCCAGCTCCAACACTGGGGATTACAATTCAACATGAGATTTAGCAGGGACAGCATCTCAAGTATAGCAGTAGGTTAGCTGTATTAAATGCATTTTCTATTAATTATATTTTCAGTTTACGGTTGGTTTATCTGAATGTAATCCCATTGTAGGTCAAGGAACATATGTTTGTGTGTGTGTGTGTGTGTGTGTGTATGTGTGTACGTGGTATAAAAATTTCACGGGGGAAGAGGGAGGGTGATTAGGAAAAAAAGTCTCAAAAAAGTTTCCTTGGCATGGGATGATGATGAAAAACAAAGTTTGAGAAAAAATGAAGCAGGACCTCTTGTCCCAAAGAACTACCAGTGGCCCAGTCAGGGACTTCTAGTGAGTTAAGAAGCCCTGCGCAGCAACTCTAAGTTCAATGCACGCTAATACCTCCCTGCTTTCCTCACTGAGCCAGAAATCCCTAGCTCTGTCAGCCAGTTCCTCTCCTGTTTACCTCCATTTACAGTCTCCATGGCCACCAGTGAGTCCTAGGGACACTCAACCCCTGGAGTGAGGAATTTAACAAGAAGATGAGAACCCGCGTGGCATGGCCTATCTTTCCCAAAGTGGGAAAGTGGAAAGGTTCTCCCCTATGCAGACAGGACTGAGCGGTCTGTTTGTGAACATGCCATTAGGCACAGTGCCGCTTACACAAGAGCCTAGTTCCACAGCTCAAATCTGAATTTTTCTTTTTCTTTCTTTTCTCTTTAAAAAATATTTTTATAGAGACAGAGTCTCTCTTTGTTGCCCAGGCTGGTCTCAAACTCCTGGCCTCAAGTGATCCTCCTGCCTTGGCCTCCCAGAGTGTTGGCATTACAAGCACGTGCCACTGTACCTGGCCAAAATCTGAATTTTTCTAACTTCTCTTATCAGTGCATATTTCTATCATAAGGATGAGATCACATCCTTTCCTGAACCTCAACCTTGCAGCCTTCCCTAACCAGGTCAGTTTATGAGCATCATGATGGACAGTGAGAGTTCAGTTTTCTTATCATTATTGTGTAAGTGCTGACTTTTTTTCTAAAGAAATCTGTAGGGAACATGACAAACCATTATGTCGCAAATGTCCATGACTTTGCCTTCTACTACCAGCCACCTTGATTTTTGACATTTAAATTTCAATTATTAGCCAGGTGTGGTGGCTCATGCCTGTAATCCCAGCGCTTTGGGAGGCTGAGGCGGAAGGATCAGTTGAGGCCAAGACAAGCCTGGGCAACATGGTGAGACCCTGTGTCTACAGAAAATACAAAAATTAGCTGGGTTTGGTGGCATGTACTTATAGTCCCGCCTGCTTGGGAGGCAGAGGTGGGAGGATTTATTGAGTCAGGGGGTGGAAGTCACAGTGAGACAAGATTGTGCCCCTGTTGGATTGTGCCACTCCATCCTGGGTGACAGAGCAAGACTCTGTCTCAAAAAAAAAAAAAAGTCTGAGATAATCCATTTTTTAATTACTCTGCAATTAAAAGACAGAGCAGGGGCCAGGTGCGGTGACTCACGCCTGTAATCCCAGCACTTTGGGAAGCCAAGGTGGGCAGATCACTTGAGGTCAGGAGTTTGAGACCAGCCTGACTGACATGGCAAAACCCCATCTACACATAAAAAAAGTACAAAAATTAGCTGGGCATGGTGGTGCGCACCTGTAATCCCAGCTACTTGGGAGGCTGAGGCACTTGAACCCGGGAGGTGGAGGTTGTTGTAAGCTGAGATCACACCACTGCACTTCAGCCTGGGCGACAGAGCAATACTCTCAAAAGAGCAAATATTTTCTGGCTTAATGTATTTCAAATGACCACTTTCATATGAATCAAGTCTGAAACTGCATGCAGCAAAGTTTTGATATTATTTTTGCTTCTGTCTTTTAAATAGGTACAATTTTTTTGTCTTGGCTCTACAATTCATTAGCTATTGGATTTAAAAAAACAACTTTGAGATATAATTAATATACATATAATACACCCATTTAAAGTGTACAATCCAATGTTCTTCAGTATAGTTACAGAGTTGAGCAACCATCACCACAATCTAATTTTAGAAATCTTCATCTCCCTTGAAAGAAACCTCATACTCATTAACAGTCACTCCCCATTCCTCCCAACCATCCACAGGCCTAGGAACCACTTATCTGCTTTGTCTCTAGAGATTTGTTAAGTGGGGCCACATTTTTGAGCAAAATCATTTCATATTCTAATTCTATAATTAAACAATAGCTTATTGTTCCATAATTATCCAATAATGTAACCATAATAAACCAATTATTAATATATTCACACCTAATCTCGATTTTAGCTGGCACTTTGTGCGAAAAGTGAAGTTGGTGTTGGCCAGGTGGTTCTGTGTTATTGAAACTTCATTCCCAATAAGCACTGAGGCAACAGGTTTAGCTTCCTTCCTGGCCAGAAGTGTTCATTAAAGAGTTTGTAAAGTTTTCAAATTAAATTATAAATGTACCAGGAGCTTGCTGTTTAAGAATTCCTGGCCAGGCACGGTGGCTCAAGCCTGTAAACTCAGCACTTTGGGAGGCCAAGGCCGGCGGATTGCTTGAGCTCAGGAAGATGGCAAAACCTCGTCTCTACAAAAAAATGCAAAACTTTAGCCAGGTGTGGTGGTGCACACCTGTGGTCCCAGGTACTCTGGAGGTTGAGGTGGGAGGATTGTTGAAGCCCAGGAAGTCGAGGCTGCAGTGAGCTGTGCACTCTAGCCTGGGTGACAGTGAGACCTTGTCTTAAAAAAAAAAAAAAATCCTATGATGTTGTTTGTAAAGGCTAATCTCTAAGGTAAAAATCCATCCACATTCTTCTCAAACACAGATACATTCAGGGGTGTCTAATCTTTTGGCTTCCCTGGGCCACACTGGAAGAATTGTCTTGGGCCATAAAATACACTAACGATAGCTGATGAGGTTTAAAAAATCGCAGAAAAATTCTCATAATGTTTTAAGAAAGTTTACAAATTTGTGTTGGACAAACTTGCATTAACTGGTTTGGTCTGTAAATCTTGGTTTCCATAGACCTGATTTTCTTGAGGGCTTTTCTTTTCGGTCTCTCTGCAGTGATTAATGTGTGGCAATGAGCACTGAGCTTCCTCCTTGAAGGTCCAGACACCCCTGCACAGGCATAAAATGATATTTTTAGGACAGACCCTTGCACTGCTGGTGTGTGCCATGTTCCAGGCATAAGAGCTTCAGTATCCACACAACATAGTTGGCCCTGATGGCTCATTTCCCAGCTTTCCCGGGTCCTTGTAGGAAACAGCAAGTTTGAAAACTGATATATTTTTCTTTTGTATTTTTTATTTTCATTTTTTTGAGACTGAGTCTCACTCTGTCGCCCAGGCTGGAGTGCAGTGGCGCGATCTCAGCTCACTGCAACCTCTACCTTCCGGGTTCAAGCGATTCTCCTGCCTCAGCCTCCCGAGTAGCTGGGATTACAAGCGTGCACCACCATGCCTGGGAAATTTTTGTATTTTTAGTAGAGACGGGGTTTCACCATACAGGTCAGGCTAGTCTCAAACTCCTGACCTCAAGTAATCCACCCACACTGGCCTCTCAAAGTGCTGGGATTACAGGCATGAGCCACCTTGCCCGGCCAAAAAATGGATATATTTTTCTTTTCTTTTTTTTTTGAGACAGGGTTTCACTCTGTTTCCCAGGCTGGAGTGCAATGGCATGATCTCAGCTCACTGTAGGCTCAACCTCCTGGGCTCAAGTGATCCTCCTATCTCAGCCTCCCAGGTAGCTGGGACTACAGGTGGGTGGTTAATTTTTTTGGTATTTTTTTGTAGAGTCAGGGTTTTGCCACGTTGCCCACGCTGGTCTCAAACATCTGGGCTCAAACGATTCGCCCGCCTCGGCCTCCCAAAGTGCTGGGATTAAAGGCGTGAGCCACCAGGACCGACCTGAAAATGGATATATTAATATTTTTCTAGCATTTTGTAGCTACTAGTCAGGCAATGGTTTTCCTCTCTTAATACCAGATGAATTGGTAGGCTGAAATGGCAGAATCTGAGACACATCCATAAGGCCATTATATAGACAAAAAGGTATATCTGGCCAGGGAAATGATAAATATAAGCCTTTGCCCCACTCATTTCCCTGACATAATGTTCAGGCTACCAGAATTCTGCCTGCAGAGTGTGACATGACTTTCAGTTTTCCACAGCACTTTCTGGTTTACAGGGCATGTTTGCAGATGTGATTAAATTTGAATTTCATTGCAATGCCGTGAGGTAGGTAGGGTGGGTCTTTGATTTTCCGGATGAGAAACCAAGTGTAAGAACTTGCTCAAGGTCAAATGGCTAGGTGATAGAACTGGAACACCTTGGTTAAATCCCAGTCCCCATTAAAGCAGTCCTCTGGGGAGGCCATAAATGTATTCTAACTTTGCTCAAAAATATTTTGAAACTTCTCTTTCAGTACCTTCAAAATCTGTAGCATATCTTTGAATATCCTCAATGGAGGCACATTTCATCTCAGTCAGTGATTCTTAAACTTGAGCATGCACTGGAATCGCCTGGAGGGTTTGTTAAAACACCGACTGCTGGGCTCCATCCCCAAAGTTTCTGATCCATTAAATCTAAGGTGGGGCCTGGGATTTGTGTTTCAAATGACTTCCCAGGTGATGCCGATACTGCTGGCTTTAGGGCCATATTTTGAGAACCATATCCTAAGGAATTTATTTCTGGAAAGAGTGAATTGTTTAAAGCCAAGTCTAATGATTAAGGTGAGGGATCAAGCTAGGGAACTCCACCATTGGCCAAAACCAATGGGCAACTGTAAAGAACAAGATCGGCTCTGGCAGAAATTCAAATAAAGAGCTCCAAAAAGGTTCTGAAAACAACATGTGGTCTGAATGTGAAGCTTCCCAATGTGACCACTTTAAAAGGAAGAACACTCTTGCATGTGTGCTAAAGAATTCTCACAAGTGTACAGGAACACCTTGCACAAATTTACATTGTGAGATGTTCACTATCAACCTTTTATTCTCAGCTTAGGAAAAAAGAAACCATGGAGGTAACACCCACATTAGTACTGTATTAAGGAGGGATTAATAGTGATTTACAACAGCTGAACTGATTACACTGGCATGGCAGAGGTCTTTTTTTTCTTTTTTTGAGACAGGGTCTTGCTCTGTCACCCAGGCTGGAGTGCAGTGGTGCAATCACGGCTCACTGCAGCTTTGACCTCCCCGGACTCAAACGATCCTCCCAACTCAGCCTCCTGAGTAGCTGGGACTACAGGCATTTGCCACCACGCCTGGCTATAAAAAATTTTTTTGTAGAGATGAGGTCTCTCTATTGTTGCCCAGCAACTCCTGGGCTCAAGCGATCCTCTTGTCTTGGCCTCACAAAGTACTGGGATTCCAGGAATGAGGTACTGTGCCCGGCCACCAGAGGTCCTTTCTATGCTGCAAAGGTGTGGAAGATGAGGGGGAAACTCCAACTCTTCATACCCTGAGTTTTTGGTTGTGATTGGAATGGAAAAGGTGAAAATATTTAATTTTGGATGCCAGAAATAAATATGTAGTATTTTGTGGGGGGGAATCCCAGCAGAAAGGAAAAAAAATGAACTACATTAGGTACTTAAGCTGGGAGAAAGTCAATCCTTCATGTCACAGCAGGGAAAAAAAGAGGTGGAGGACTGCCTAAATATTGGTTCTATTTTAATTCCAATTCTACATTACATTAAACTCTCCCTGTACTCCTCTCTAATTTACAGCAAATGCTGACACAAATTGGTATGCCTTCTCTTCTTTGACATCAGTGTTTCTCTTGAATTATGTATTTCTATCTGGAATGAGGTTTATGAGGCTAAAGCCTTCTTTCATTAAGATAGGTGAGAACAGAGAAGGATCAATAAGCGGTTGAGTGCAAAATCAAAGTAAGGTGGGGCTAAGATATGCTCAGGGCAGCACTTCACTGCCCAAAGTGACCATAAGTGGTATTACGAATGACACTGATCTTCTGAATTTCAATACATTGATTATATTTCAACTACTATAAAACAAGAAAAACTCTATTAACTTTCATCCCAGAACTGCCAGATTCTTCCTTTATTGGTACCCTACAAGTATTTAGTAACCATTTTTAAGAAAGAGTACAGATAATCATAGTAACTGCATCACTTGGATTCCATCTAAAATTGAGTCAAAGACAAAAGAAATCCCCTGCCTGATGCAGTGTGTCTCAGCCATCTCAGTCTTCACACAGGTTGAGGTGCTTGGTTGTGGTGCTCAACCTACCTCACAGGTTGGTGCCATGGACAGATCTGGCCCCACTATTGTTGACAAATGGCTCCCAGTCCAAGTCAGCCATTAGTTCATATTGACAGAGGCCACTGGCTGGCTCCATCTGGGGCCTGACCGTGTCTCAGGGTCCATTCTCAGCTTTGTTAGTTTGTGATGGGCTCTGGGCTGGCTGGTCAGACCAGGACTGAAGTGGAGCATTTTGACGAAGGTGTTTTGAGATAACATTTGTAAAAAATGTAGATATACTGTCTTGTATTGCCAAATAATATACAGAACAGACATGCCTGATCCTTTCCCTTTTCTATACCTCATTCCACCCTCGGCCCAAGCCTGAGCCTCACCCTCTAGGTAATCTTCAGCCATCTCTGAAAACTCTTCCATTTTTAATCTTTACCTATCACCCACTTCACCCCAGGAATGGGAACTGGAGATAAAATGAAACTCTTTGTTTTTTCACATTTCTTGATAATTTAAAAGAGAACATTTTCTGTTTTGCTTATAATAATGTAAAAATTGTCCCTGAGTCAATATGGGCACATTAATGCAGCTCAACCATAATGTTCTTTGGCTGAAACTGGCTGTGCCCAGCAGCCTTATGGTGATGTGGCTTACGCACTGGCACACCCCTTGTTTGGCCAGCCTGAGGAACATGTGAAGGACACTGTCACCCTGAGAGTGGGCTTGGGCCAGGAGCCCATTGGGCTGCTCTAGCCTCTCTTCAAGTTCAGGGGCAGGTGCTGCTCCCAGCCATGGCCCTCACCGCTCTGCTGGCTGGCAAGCTGCTGAGAAGAATGGCCTGTGGAGGCTGAAAATTGCTGAAAACCCCATTCTGCCCAAAATGTTTGCGGTGGGTTAATTTATTCTATAATTTAAAGAATTCCATGTTAATGAAAGAGAAGTGGAATCCTGAGAGCGAGCTAAAAATGGAATTAAAAAGGGCCCATTCTTCAGGCAATATTAATGAGAGCTTTGTATATATATTGGTGAGTAAATCGCAATTAAAACTAAAATGTCTGTTAGTGATTCACTGAGTTCTAAAGGTTGGCCTTTTGCCTTTTGTGGTCAGCAATCCCCTTTTTTTTGTGACCCCACTATTCTAGACAGAAAACAGTTAATCCAATAGGACTTAGTATCTTACAAAAGACTCGCTAAAATATTTTCTGCTAAATGTTCATCTTCTAACAGCTGCTTTTTTATTTCAGTGAGAGGTACTTGAAATAAAATCATTGTTCTCCAAGAAAAATGCATGCTAAATAATACAGAGCTACCAGATTATTAAACAGCAAAGGCATTTCATAATATTAGCACCAACCACAGGTTCCACTTCTGCTGATGCACAAAATTTTGAGTAATTAGTCATTGCACAATGTTGTATTTATATTCATTTTTGCTCGAGCTGTTAGGCCACAAAATCAGTAGGCAGTTGCTGTTATAAAAGGATTCTCTGGGTTATTTATAATGTTTCTGCTTCTTCACACTTGCTGCTTCACTCTTGGGTCTTGAGCCAGGTCTACACTGTGAAAATGAAGGAAGGAACTGAGCAATTGTTCTGTGAATCTAACTGCATTGAAAGCTGGTGTGGATGATTCACAACCAACTGTGTATGTCTTGGCTGGTGCACCTGGTATATTTGTCTACACAACCCAAATTCGTCATATACTGGCTGATTTGTCACTTTATCAGGGAAGGATGCATAGTTACGTGAAGGCTGTGTTTCTACCAGGAATAAGCTAGTGTCTAAGGCACAGGTGGTAGGGCAAGTATCTGAACTAGCATTATGTTGCAAAAGAGTTACCTTCAAATGTCAGTTACTTTAAATGAAGGATTGATTTCTGCTCCAAATGCTTGCCTGTTACACAGATCATTCATTCCCTAGAAGGCAGGCATACTGGATGGAAGGGCATTTACCGGATGGAAGGGCATTTATGGATCACCTGAGATTTTAATTTTATTTTTTGTAAGTTATACAGGCATCTTTCTGTGCTATCTGCAGAGAATCACTGATGACAGGAACTCTTTCTAGTGGGAGTAGGTTTTAGCCTTTATGTGAGTCGGAGTAAAAAATATGCTGAAAACCACTCAGACTGACAGAATGATCTGTTTGTTTCAACTATGAAATAACCATCTTAGTTATCGCCCCACTGCCCCCACTTTTTTTAAGGAAATGAACTATCTTTATGTCATCTGAATTCCCATGAGCTCTCAAACCCACTTCTCAGCATCCCCATTTCCACTTCCCTAGTCCAGGCTGCCACCATCTCTCACCCAGATCAATACGACAGTCTCTGGACTGTTCTCCCTGACTCCAGTCTTGTAAACTCCAATTTATTCTTCACACAGCAGCCATATTAATCTTTTTATAAAGTATAAATCTGATCAAATGTATCCCTTGCTTAAATGGCTCCCCATTGCCCTCAGAAGTGTGAATTCTCAGAAGTGGCAAAGGAAGCCCTTTACAACCCAACCCTGCCACCTCTCCACTTCATCCTTAACTCTCCTTTGTACTCAGGTCTTTCCAAATGGAACTATTTGAAGCAGCACAAATATGCCATGCTCCCTTTAGCTGCTTCATGAGCTGCTGCCTCTGCCTGAGTGCCACTTTACCAAGCTGCCTCTGCCTTATCCTTCAGCTCAGCTCCTTCCCTTACCCTCTCAAACAGCTTCCCTGGGCTCCTCAGGCTAGGTGGGCCCCCTCCACTGCATCACCATGGGACTTCTCATTCTAGCTGTATGGACTATGCACTCTTCTAGATTCCAAGCTCTTTGTGGCCAGGGACTGTCTTATTATGCCAGTGTGTCCCTGGCATACCAGTGTATATCCACTGTGTGGCATGTGGAAAATTCAGAGTGTGCTGAATAAGAAAGTGTACAGTGGGATGTGCCTCATTCCATTTTGCCATTCTTTCCAATAGAATATTTCCTATTTCTTAAGGAACTGTTTTCAGTTCTAGAGGCTGCTTTTGTATCATTAGTCTTGGAACTCCCACGATGCTCTGAGAATAAGATGAAAGGCAGCCTGAGGACCTTGACTGTGATCACTGCCTGTGAAGAAACCCAATTTAGGCTTCTCTTTGTAGCAATGTTGTAGCCTAGAGATCTGAAAACTCTCCTTCTACAAGATACTCAGAACTCTGGGATAAAACAGAAGCCTTATTACTATTAATATATCTAAAAAATAGAAATAAGATTTTCCCAGAGTCCAAAAACAAAGAGAGTTCTAAAAACTAGCACGGCAAGAGCATAAACTATGGCCATCCAAGCAGTTTGCTGGTCCGGGTAATCATGGGGCTTGGGTTTTAATGGCCATGTTTGGACAAAAGGTGGGTTTCAAGCAAAGTGGAGTGCTGGAACTAAGACTCCTACAGAAAAGATGAACCAGGAAAAAAAAATTCCACCACTGGCTCAGAGAAACAGCAACAAATCCTGTCACTGAGACTTTGTAATGTGATCCTCTTCCTAAGCAGTTTGGGTTGTGAAATTTATACTACCTTTTGAGAAGTGTTTGTTCATATCCTTTGCCCACTTTTTGATGGGGCTGTTTTTTTCTTGTAAATTTGTAAGAAATTTATGCAGCCAACAGACACAGGAAAAAATGCTCATCATCACTGGCCACCAGAGAAATGCAAATCAAAACCATAATGAGATACCATCTCACACCAGTTAAAAAGTCAGGAAACAACAGGTGCTGGAGAGGATGTGGAGAAATAGGAACACTTTTACACTGTTGGTGGGACTGTAAACTAGTTCAACCATTGTGGAAGACAGTGTGGCGATTCCTCAAGGATCTAGAACTAGAAATACCATTTGACCCAGCCATCCCATTACTGGGTACATACCCAAAGGATTATAAATCATGCTGCTATAAAGACACATGCACACGTATGTTTATTGTGGTACTATTCACAACAGCAAAGACTTGGAACCAACCCAAATGTCCATCAATGATAAACTGGATTAAGAAAATGTGGCACATATATACCATGGAATACTATGCAGCCATAAAAGGATGAGTTCATGTCTTTTGTAGGGACATGGATGAAGCTGGAAACCATCATTCTCAGCAAACTATCGCAAGGACAAAAAACCAAACACCGCATGTTCTCATTCATAGGTGGGAATTGAACAATGAGAACACTTGGACACAGGAAGGGGAACATCACACACCAGGGCCTGTTGTGGGGTGGGGGAAGCGGGGAGGGACAGCATTAGGAGATATATCTAATGTAAATGATGAGTTAATGGGTGCAGCACACCAACATGGCACATGTATACATACGTAACAAACCTGCACATTGTGCACATGTAACCTAGAACTTAAAGTATAATAAAATAAAAAATAAAGTACTTAGAAAAGTGCTTAGAAAAAAAAAAGGGTTAAAGTTAGGATTAAGGTATAGAGATAGACCTGAAGAACAGATCATCTAAAATATGTAGTTTTATATGCTGTAGTACATTTTAACAAAGGTTTCATAATATAAAGCAGAAATAAACAGACAAAAAGAAGCCATTAAAAAAAAAAAAAGAAATTTATACTACCTGTGTGGCCAGAAATTCACAAGCCAAGAGATCAAAATAAAAGTATTCCTCAGCTAGGGATACTCCTGGGGCAGCAGGCAGAAGCAAAGGCAAATTTCTCTGGCAAGAAATACCTTCAACCTAGACTACATAGGATTCTCACAGATCAAGTACCACTGAAGATAAGCTCACAGCCCGCAATTATAAAACATGTGACAAAACAATCTACCATGAAGAGTAAGCAGTTAGACATGAAATTAGTCCTCAGCAATTTCAGATAATAGAGTCAGCTAAAAGAAACTACAGACACATGTTTAAAATGATTAAAGACAAAATAAGAAATTTTAAAATAAGAATCTACCATATGAAAGAATGGACAGGTTTGAGATAGAATCAAATGGAAATTTTAGAAATGAAAAATACGGTTTCTAAACACAAAAACAGGTTTCTAAACAAATTAGGCATGGCTAAGAAGACAATTAATGAACTGGGCAAAAGACCTGAAGAAATAACCCAGAATATAGTACTGAGAGTCCAGGATATAGAAATTATGAAAGAGACAAAATTTAAAAGACATGAAGAATAGAAAGAGAAGGTCTACATAGATCTATATCTATATATCTATATATATATATGTATGGAGAGAGAGAGAGAGCGAATATCTAATAGGGTTCCCAGAGAAAATAGGGGAAAGGCAACAATAAGAGAAAATGGTTGTGAGTTTTTCAGAATTGATGAAAAACATAAATACTGAGATTCAGGAAGAAGAGTCACGAGCAGTATAAATAAATTCAGATCTAGATTCCCTGTAGTAAAACTGCAGAATGACAAAGAACGAGACATTTTAATAAGCTAATACTGTCTTCAAATGTATTATTAATAGCTAAGTTCTGGTTCAGTGTGGTGGCTCATGCCTATAATTCCAGCACTTTGGGAGGCTGAGGTGGGAGGATTGCTTGAAGCCAGGAAGGAGTATAAGACAAGGCTGTGCAACAAAGTGAGACGCCAGCTCTAGAAAAAAAAAAATCAGCTGGGCATAATGGTGTATGCCTGTGGTCCCAGCTACTCAGGAGGCTAAGGTGGGAGGATGGCTTGAGCCCAGGAGTTTGAGGCTACAGTGAACTATGATGGTGCCACTGCACTCCAGCATGGGTGGCAGAGTGAGACCCGATCTCTTAAAAGAAAAAAAGCTAACCTCTTCATAACATTAAGCATCTTAAACACAGGTGTCATAGTGTGTTTGTAATATTTTATTTCTTAAAACTATCAGAAGCAAAAATAGCAAAATGTTAAAAATCAATAAAGCTAGGTGGTGAGTCAATGGATGTTCATGATATTATTCTCTATACTGTTTAGTGTGGTTGAAATATTTCATTTGAAGGAAGAAAGGATAAAAGGAGGAAAGGAAGGAAGGAAAGAGAGGCAATCTGATTTGCCTTGGACTAGTGAGGGGCGAAATAAATGTATGTATTTAATGCAAATTATAGTCACATACAACTTGATCTAAACAATTAGATTCCTACATATTAAAACTAAAAGTTAAAGAGAATACTAAATGAAGGAAAAAGATTTTCCTAATTGGGAACAGGACAGTCATGCGGAAGGCACCTAGCAGATGTCACTATAATCTTTTTCTAATTTTTGTTTGCTTGACCAAGGAAAGAAAACAATGTAACATTTTCAGTTTTTAGAGCATCTCTTAGGGGAGATGTACTTCACCTAACCTCTGGATCCCTTTGATCTCCAAATCCATAGCTTTTTCAGAGGTTGTACCACAGTATAGAACACTTCTGTATTTGTTCTTAAAGGAACTGAAATAGGAAGAGGAAAGCAAGAATGAATTGCTTTATAGCTGAACTCTGTCCCACTGCAGTACATTCTGTTCACACACACACGTACACATAAGCACATGACATTCATGCAATTAACTGTTTATTCACAGTACATGCCATCAACATAGACATGCAAAGTATACACACCATTAACCTACAACACAAACACACATGCACACACTTTTATACAAAGGGCAGAGTTCAGCAAGCTATGAACCACACACCTCTTTTTCTATTTCCTTGTCCAACTCCATCAGCAGCAATGGGCATTGAGGGCAGTGGGCATGGCTCCCACTGCCATGGGCTCTATGGTTTGGCTCTAGGTGGTTTTTTTTCCCCCCTCTTTTTGAGACAGGGTCTCACTCTGTTGCCCAGGCTGGAATATAGTGGCATGATCTCAGCTCACTGCAGCCTTGGTCTCCCAGGCTCAAGTGATCCTCTTGCCTCAGCCTCCGAAGTAGTGGGGACTACAGACGTGTGCCACCATGCTGGCTAACTTTTTTTGTCGAAATGGGGTTTCGCCATGTTGCCCAGGCTGGTCTTGTACTCCTGAGCTCAATCTGCCCACATCTGCCTCCCAAAGTGCTGGGATTACAGGCTTGCACCATTGCGCCTAGCTCTAGGTGGTTTTCTTTCACCTCCTCATAATTTCAGGTCTACCCTAGAAACATTGTCACTCAATGGAAACCACTAAGAAAATCTTTTGTGTTGTCCTGGCAGTTTTGCTCCTGAGAACACCATTACAACACCCTAGGAAGATGGGCGAGGAGTAGACCACAGGCTCACTGCCATATTATCACATCAATGTCTTAGAAGCTTAAGGAGGGTGGACAGGTGGGGCTTAGACGTAGGAAGCTAAGAGGAAGCGAAATCCTAATCGTAGATGGGTAAGCAAGCTCCCATAACCTTATACAATGCCCTCTCACTGGGCAGAGGGACTATTTCATGTCTAGGTCCACAGAACATTCTAAATCTAGATTTAGTTCTTTCTCTCTTGACTTTTTCCAAGGCTGAAACAATGGTTCCTTTTCTGTACTGTACATCCACTTCCATACCCCACTTCTACTACCATATTCCTCTTTCAGTCCCTGGCCGTATTTGAGTTCTGAAGCAGGGCCAGGGGCCCAGATCCCCTCAGGGAGCCCCTAAGCTGTCAGGCGGTAGTCACATGTACACGCATGTCCAGGTCTGTGGGACAGTACCTTGGGAAAATGGAAAAAACAGCCTTAGATTTGGCCCTGGTTCAATTCCTCAAAGTGAAGATGACATTTCTGGTAAGCAGTTACAATTAGATTTCTAGAGCCCTGGGTATTCAACTGATCACACGCAGGATTAAGAAAGATAATTTAAAATATTGAATTCTGCCTGATTAGCTAATAAATGAGGTGATCTGTTGATGTGGAAGTAATGTAATAGAGCTAATATGGCCCCCTGGGCATGACAGATGTCTTGTGCCTTGTCTATCCATCTCTTCTGCAATTACCTTGTCCTCTGTCCTTTCCTTACAGTCAGTGAACAACTTTTTGTCTTCTTCATTTTTTCCAGCCACCAGAGTGTGCAGAGTTTTACTAACATCATTTCTAAGGTTAAGAGGGCTGTTTCGGAACCTCATTTGGGTTTTCTTTATTCTATGATGCTGATTTCAGAGATGTTGTGCACTCTCTGTAACTTAGTTTTTTTTGGCCTGGTCTTTGTATGACTGTAGGTAAAACAATCTAAGGATATGTGTTTTTTTGTTTTTTTGTTTTTTTGTTTTTGAGGAGTCTCCCTCTGTCACCCAGGCTGGTCTCGGCTCACTGCAAGCTCCGCCTCCTGGGTTCAGCCATTCTCCTGCCTCAGCCTCCCGAGTAGCTGGGACTACAGGTGCCTGCCACCACGCCCAGCTAATTTTTTGTATTTTTAGTAGAGACAGGGTTTCACTATGTTAGCCAGGATGGTCTCGATCTCCTGACCTCGTGATCCACCCGCCTTGGCCTCCCAAAGTGCTGGGATAACAGGCGTGAGCCACCGCGCCCGGCCTAAGGATATGTTTTAAAATGGAAAACTGGGCAATTATTCTGTTTTCAAATCATTTATAAGGAGCATTTATATCTAAGATTTATTGTTTCCCTGGGCATCTTAAATGTAGAACTTAAGGAATGTAAGAAATCCAGTTGATCCCCTAGTCCCCTGAGAAAACTAAGGCTTAGGGAGGGTAAGCGACTCTTAACACTCAAACTAGTTACTTTCCCAGAAGGAACCAGAACTCTTTTATTATTTGCAGAGGGCCTGTTATTATATGCCAAGCATTGTATTAAGCAGTGGGGTTGCCCCAAGAGAACCTCTGAGATGGACCTTAAGGATGGGCAGGAGTTTGCCTCAACTAAAAAGCTGGTTTGTGAATGTTAAAAAAGAAGAATCACATTTTCACTACCTTTATAGTTTAGCAGTTTATAGTTTAGCTTCTACTTAAAGAAATGTAATAAAAAAATGATTTGGTTATAGTGTCTGAGAGTGGTGCACCTCTCCTCCAGGTTTGATCATTCACTGATGAGAATGAATGAACATGAGTTGTTCCAGAACCTTTGCTGTCTGGAATGGGCATGATCCTGCAACATCACTGTCCATGTGTATTAGTCCATTTTCACACTGCTATAAAGAAATACCCAAGACTGGGTAATTTATAAAGAAAGGAGGTTTAACTGACTCACAGTTCCGCATGGCTGTGGAGGCCTCAGGAAACTTACAATCATGGTGGAAGGAAGCACTGTCCCAGGGTATACATGGATTATTTCATTTAACTGAGGCTGCAGTATACTGTACAAGGTAAGCAAGGCCTTTTCAAGATCTGGCAGCTTCTGAAGGTCTACAGAAAAGGAGTAATTATAGACGCCTGTATCATGACAAGTCACAAGTAGGCCCATCTTCCATGGCTGCAGGTGAGATAGAGCATGTGAAGGGAAGGGAGAAGAGCCCCTTATAAAATCATCAGATCTCGTGAGAACTCACTATCACAAGAATAGCATGGCGAAAAGTGCCCCCATAATCTAATCACCTCCCACCAGGTCCCTCCCTCAACACCTGGGGATTACAATTCGAGATGAGATTTGGGTGGGGACACAGAGCCAAACTATATCACCACGTGGTCCTGCTCCTTACCATGGTAGGAAGAAGCTGGAGTTGCATCATGGTGCATTATACTAATATACAGAGCCAAGAGAATATCCATTCTGCTTAATGGTGGGTGATACAAGCTCCTGGTCTACGCTACCTGGTACCTAAATGATCCATAAAGTGGTAAAGTGAACAATCAGGTATATAGGGATGTACTAGTAAGAACTAACACATACTAAGGGCTTACATGTGCCAGGCACTGTTCTCAGGGTATACGTGGATTATTTCATTTAAACGAGGCTGCAGTGTACTGTACAAAGTAAGCAAGGCCTTTTCAAGATCTGGCCGCTTCTGAAGATCTATAGACAAGGAGCCTGTATCATGACAAGTGACAAGGAAAGTCAGTGCTGGAATGTCAAATAAGAGAGAGTGAAGACTAGGCAGACTGTCACCAAATCAAGAGGCAGGGTGGTGACTGAGGTAGCAAGTACATGGGTGTTGGAGACAGACAGACAGACAGATAGGCAGACCGACCAACTTAAAAATCAATCCTGGCTCTGCCAACTTACCAGCTGTAGGCCCCTGGGCAGGTCATGTAACCTTTGAGAACCATAGTTGCCTCCTCCCTCAAACAGTCAAAAACCCATCCTGCAGGTTGTTCTGAGAATGTGAAGTAATGCATAGAGTCCAGCATGATGCCTGGCACAGTGTGGTGCCCAGCTTTTATTATTAGCCTAAAGAATCCTCATGCCCCCAAAGAATCTAATTTCAGAGGCTAATGAACCAAGGAATTTCAGAGGTCAGAGGTGCCTCAGAGATCAGCCACACCAGACACATCATGCTTAGATGAACAACCTGAGCCCCAAACATAAGACATCATTTGCCCAAAGCAGCACCGCTAGTTAATGGCTAAATCAGGGTTAGAACTCAGGCCACTGGGACTGATGACTACAGCTAAACCATATGCAAAAACCCCTGAGATATTTCACCAAAAAGATGATTTAGGCCAGTCCTCTTAGTTTGCTTTGGATTACTTTCTCCTTACAGAACAGCCAATTTTCTAGCATTCACTTCAGGTCACTTCTGAAGCACATTCACTTGATTCCTTGTGTGTATTAGGCTGCTAGGGCTGCTGTGACAAAATACCATGGACTGAATAGCTTAAATAATAGAAATTTATTTCTCACAGTTCTGGAGGCTGGGAAGTCCAAGATCAAGGTACTGGCAAAGTAGGTTTCATTCTGAGGCCTCTTCTCTTGGCTTGTAGGTGGCCACCATCTTGCTGTGTGCTCACATGACTCTTTGTGTGCACACAGAGAGAGAGAGAAAAAGGGAGAGAGCGAGAGAGCTCTCTCCCATCGAACCAGGACCCTACCCCTTATGACCTCATTTAACCATAATTACTTTCTTTTCCTATCTCCAAATACAGTCACATTGGGGGTTAAGGCTTCAACATATGAATTTTGGTGGGAACGCAATTCAGTCCACAGCATGGTGTTACATGTTCCTCCATCTTTCATGAACCATTCCATCCAGGACTGTTTCAAATGGGAGATGAAGTACGTGAACTACCAAATACCTAAACATGAGGCATCACCTATTGGCCGATCCCTTTTACAACTCCAGATAATCCATCAACTGAAGACCAAGCAATGTGGCAAAAGCCAGAGTTAATATCACTCAAGCTATGATTAATTGTGAGACTGAGGGTTGAAGAGTTAAATGGAAATCTATAAGCAGATTCATTCATTCAGAAAACCTGAACGTGAGGAAAATTTGTCTGAAGATCTGCTGTACATTTGAATGACGAACAGAAACAGTGATGCTTTGACATTTATTCTGGTATTTCCAAGAAGAACTGTATAAAATAACATGTTTTCTGAGGAATGGTTTCTTTAAAAAGATTAAGGAAAAAAACCTGTCAAAGTATATAACAAACTACCAGACAGAAGGAGCCTCAAGTGCCCTCAATAGGAAGGTAATGGAGATCTAAGTTTTTGGCACTAGGAGTCCATCCATTCAGAGTTTATCCTACGTCAAGGGGCTCCTCGGCCCAGTTACATGAAGATTATGAACTGCTTGAGAGGTTCTTTGTGAGGATAATGCCCAGTACACCCTCAGAGAAATGATATCACCGATCTTATTTGCTAGATGTGGCTCCAAATAGCTTTTGGTCATGCCCAAAGTCACATTTATTTCAAATTACAAAGTAATACATGAAAAATACAGGCTTATGGAAAAACTCAAATAATTCAGTAGAGTATGGAGTAGACAGAAGTCCCCCTTTATAACACCTTCTCCCCAGCCTATACCCCTTCCCAGGAATAATGATCATAACAGCTGGTGAGGTTTTTTCCAGATTTTAAAATATGCATTTACTTAGAGATAGCTAGAGAGTTACTTTCAAGTAAATGGCACTACATTATTATTCATATTTGCCCTTCTCCTATTGATGATTAGGAGGACACACCTTCTCAATTTTTGGTTATTGCAAACAAAGTTGAATTAAACATTCTTGTACAAATATTTGTGTATGTGAGCATTTTTGTAGGATAGACTCTTAGAAGGAGATTTACTATTCTCTCTCTCTCTCTCTCTCTCTCTCTCTCTTTCTTTCTTTTTCTTGAGACAGGGTCTTGCTATGTTGCCCAGGCTGCTCTTGAACTCTGGGCCTCAAGCAATCCTCCTGCCTCGGCCTCCCAAAGTGCTTGGATTACAGGTGTGAGCCAGCATGATCAGCCAAGATTTACTATTTTCAAAGGGAAAGTATATTTTAAAGATTAGTACTGTCAGCTGGGCATGGTGGCTCACGCCTATAATTCCAGCACTTTGGGAGGCCAAGGCGGGTGGATCATCTGAGGTCAGTTCAAGACCAGCCTGACCAACATGGTGAAACCCTGTCTCTATTAAATACAAAAAATTAGCTGGGAGTGGTGGCGCATGCCTGTAATCCCAGCTACTTGGGAGGCTGAGGCAGGAGAATCGCTTGAACCGGGGAGGCAGAGGTTGCGGTGAGCCGAGACTGCGCCACTGCACTCCAGCCTAGGCACCCAGAGCAAAACTCCATCTCAAAAAAAAAAAAAAAAAAAAAAAAGATTAGTACTGTCAAATTTCCCCTCTGGAAACACTGTACAAATTTACATTCCCACCAGAATTACATGATTGTATAATATTTGTTTTGTGATCTATTTGGACTTAAACATTCTCAAATTTTAATTTTGGCCAAACTTATGGGTAATAAAGAGGACCTCACTGTTATTTTAATGTGTATAATCCTGACTTCTAATGAGGTTAAGCATTGTCTCATTTCTTTATTTTTTTCGTATTTCTTATTCAGTGACTTGCCTATTTATATTATTCTAGGGAAATACTTGATTTTTTTAGTTGTAATTACACTATTTTTTAGTTGTAATTTTTTGTTGTAATATGTGCAATTACACATATTAATCCTATAATATTGCAAATATTCAAATTAGCTGTAAGTAGATATTCAAAAGTGTATGACTATGCATAGAAAAAAATCTGGAAAGATTTACACCAAAAGGTTAACAATTACTTTTAAGTGGATGGGTCATGGATACTTGACTTTCTTCTTTATACCTTTCTGTGTTGCTGCTCTCCTTCCCTCCTTGAACACTAAAGTATGTATTAATTTCACAAGTAGGAAAAGCCCCAATAAAGTGATTAGTGGAATAAAGGTGATAATGAAGGCTCTCAAGGCAATTCTAACAGAGGATTTCCAAAGGCACTTTGAGTAGTAGCTGTGTCAATAGAGTAAGTCTCCTAAAGTCAGGGTTTGAAGGAAACAACAGTCACTTCTTGGATAAGAAAAATTGACAGTGCAGTTCAAAATTAGCCTTATTACTTTACCTCTTCAGCACCCAAGATTCGACCATTTTTTAAACCATATTATTTTACCCACCCAGCCCTTTCTCAAGTGTTGCCAGTAAACAGTAAGGGACACCGAAACATCTTGGCTATAACAGAAGCTTCTGGACAGAAATGTGCAAAGGCTCTATTCAAGGACAAAATGGCTTTTGAGCCATAAATCCCCTCAGAAACTCAACTAATTACTACATGCAAAGAAAGTATATGTTGATCAGAAAGAAGGAGATGAGAAGAAGAAGAAGAGTCTGCTGGGGAAACACAGTTCAAGGAAAGTCACGGAGACTAGTACTGGCAGTACCCATGCAAGAACTGCTGAGTATTCAGTCTTCCCAGCAGGACTATGGCTAAGCAGGGAACAGGGCCTCATGTTGCCTGGGTTGAGAAACACCTCTTGAGATCACCTCAATTCATTAGTTCTGAGTACATTTTGCAATATTAGTTTGACTTTCTACTGGTGGCAGTGACAAGGGTGGGGAGAGGAGAATGTAGGGTGGAGGAAAGGTCACACCAAGTTGGGAATGATGGCCCCTCAGATGCTAGGTTTTCAAAGATTGAACTGTCAGTCTGGATAGGGCCTAAAAGGTGGGTCCATTAACCCCATCCTTGAGACAGCCGGGATGGCCGCGGGCCAGACCCCAGGATGAGAGGAATACAAGAGGCCACCTGGGAAACCTGCAAGTAACCTGCCAGCCCCAGCAATCACCTCATCCTAAGAAAGTGCTTCCGTGCAAACTTTAACAGAAATTATCTCTACTTCTTACTGGTGCAATCCTAATTTAGAGTTAACTCTCAAGCTCTGAGTAGTTATGGGACACCCATGCAGCTGGCTGCTGCTGCCTAGTGCCTCATCAGCAACTCTGAACACTATAGGACTCAAATGTGAAGGATAGAAAGAAAGGAGAATAAAGAATAGGAAAGATAAATTCCCTGTGCCCCTGGCTTTTGTTTGTTCTCAGCTTACTTACATACCCATGCGTTATTACAGAGTGAGTGATTCTTGAGAAGACAGATTTAGCCTACGGACTAAATTCTTGAGAGTGTTATTGTAGATTCCAGGACTTAACCATTTACATAAAGAAAAGCAATTTATATGTCAAGAATTTCAGTGCTTATAAAGCAGGGATAACTAATGTTATAATATATCACAGTAGCACAATAATCCTAAAATATACCATGCTTAGGTGTGTGTCTCTGACTATGGAGTGCTTACTCAGTGCAATCCCAAATGCAAGCAGGCAAACCCCCTAACATTCAGGTTGGAAGAAGAGAGGGCGGACATGCACTCTCTGTCATTTGGAGGCTGAGATTCAGATAACATATAGAAATGGGAGAAGAGACACATCTGTCATGTCTTCCAAACTGAGCTGAGGACATCTGCAGCTACTGCCACCATCTCACTCTAGTACAACGGGAAAAACAGATGTAAAAATAGAAGTGATATATTCAACTATTAACAGTGAGGCAAAACTGAATATAGCAGTCTGCAGAAGCACTGACGTAGAACGGGAAATGGCTTCTTCTAGGCAGGCTGTCTGCCTTGAGTGGACAACATGCCAACTAAAGATGTTTCCAGCACCCATGTCATCCCTGACTTTTTAATAAGGGATTAGGAGGAAGAGAAAAGCGAGAAGGTTACAAACCGACTGAGAGCAAGTAATACCCTCCTGACAGAAAAGTGAAGGAGCCCATTTGTTCAGAAGAAAATGCCTCCCTGGGAGCTCCTCACTCGCCACGTGAATTACCTTCTCTTTATCAGATTTATGAAGAGGCTGCACAGCTGTGTGCAGAACAGGTAAGAATTTTAATAATGAAAGTGCTGGATGAGAGGACGAAGACAGCATAAAAAAGATGAGGAAGATTCTAGACCCAGAAAATCACTACCCTGGTTCCTGTCAGTGTCACTGCTGCTCCACCTGGGGGATGCTGAGAGTCCATTCACGCATATTCAGCAGGGCAATTCAGTGGAGAGTCTTTATCACGAATATCCATTCATAAGTGAATTGCTTAGGTGGAGCTTTTTTGTTGTTGTTTGAAATATAATTCATGCATCATAAAATTCACTCTTTAAAGGGGTATGCTTTAGTGTTCTTTAGTATTACCCACAAGCTTGTCCGACCATTACCACTGATTCCAGAACATTTTCATCACCCCAAAGAGGAACTCCATACTCATTAGTAGTCACTCTCCATCCCCTTCCAGCAACCATCAGTTGACTTCCTGTCTCTATGGATTTATAATACCTATTCTGGATATTTCATAGAAATAAAATCATAATATATGACCTCTTATGCCTGGCTTCTTTTACTTAGTAGTATGTTTTCAAGGTGCATCCATGTCATAGCATGAATCAGTACTTCATTCCTTTTAAAAAAGAATTATTTAATAATTCACCTATTTTAACATAAATAACTCAGTGCATTTAGTATTGTCACAATGTTGTACAATCACCGACCTCTTATCTAGTTTCAAAACATTTCCATTACTCTAAAGTAAAACTCCTTACCCATTAGGCAGTTTCTCCCCATTCCTCCTCCCCCTAGTCCCTAGCAACCACCCATCTATGCTCTGTATCTATGGATTGATCTATTCTGAATATTTCATTTAAATGGAATCATATAATATGTTAACACTTTGTGTCTGGCTTCTTTCACTTAGCATAATGCTTTGGAGGTTCATCCATGTTGTTGTATGTATCAGTATTCTTTTTAATGGCTGAATAATATTCCATCGTATGGATATACCACAATTTGTTTATCCATCATCTGCTGATAAACACTGGGTTCTTTCCAATTTTTGGCTATTATGAATAATGCTGCTATGAACATTCACATACAAGTTTTTGTGGACACATGTAAGGCTTAAGTATAAATGCCCAATCCCTCTCCATTCCCATTTTCATGAGGCAAATACTTTAAATTCTTTTAGTGGTTTCTTCTGGTAATTATCTGATGTTTCTGGCAATACACTTATACTGCTTTTAGAAAACCAGTTTTAGGGTTGGGCATGGTGGCTCATTGCCTATAATCCCAGCACTCTAGGAGGCTGAAGTGGGTGGATTGCTTGAGCCCAGAAGTTTGAGACCATCTTGGGCAACATGGCAAAACCCTGTCTCTACTAAAAATATAAAAATTAGCCAGGCATGGTGGCGTGTACCTGTAGTTCCAAACACTTGGGAGACTGAGGCAGGAGGATCACCTGAGCCTGGGAGGCAGAGGTTGCAGTGAGCCAAGATGGAGCCACTGCACTCCAGCCTAGGCAACAGAGTGAGAACCTGTCTCAAAAAAAAAAAAAAGTCAATTTTAGATATTATCTCTTGAGTTCCAATTATGGAAAATAAGCATTTAGTTTTCTTATGTCCCCCCATGTGCAAATGCACACTCACTTTATCCTCCCATCTTCACAATATTATTCTAATCTCCATTTCTGGTTAAATCTAGAATTAGCATTTACATTGTTATGACTATGCATTTATAGCATTTATAGCCACGTCATGTACAAAGATTATATTCACTTAATCATACTTTTTCCCCTTAGGTTCTAGATGACCTAGAAGGGAAAATTTGCTTTACTTAAACATTTTCCTCAGTTTCCTATGTACCAATTAATAGTTCATCTTCAAATTCTGCAAGAAAATGAAAAATCTCTAGATATATTAAAACACACTGGACATTCTACTGTTTTCTTGTCAGCATCCACTTCCCTATCCTCTGATAAGAGTGATTTGTATCTGAAACCAGGGACAGGGACATGACATGAGACACAGCGTGGGTAGGGAGTGGACCCACCTGAGCTCATAGCCCACTATGAGGAAGGCAGAGCTGACAGGGAGGGAGCCAGTGAGCAAGTGACCTGACTTGCCTGGATGACACTGTTCAGCCTCTGCATTCTGCCATATCTTTACACTTTGCAATTATGTGCACCAAATAAATCCTTTTTCCTGCATAAGCCTGAGTTGTGCTTCTGGTGCTTACAACCCAAAGGGATAGTAACTAACATGGACACTGAGAATAGGGGCTAAGCCACTTCTGTGCATCCATGTAGGTCTTTGAGGAATCCTCATTTTACTTTTAGCAGGAGATGCATAGAGTCTTTTCACTTTAGTGAAAGTAGTGTTAGTCTAATGGCGGATTGATTTCAGAACTAAGGATCCCCTCAAATTCAGGTTCTTGTCCTTGACAAAACAGAAAATAAACTAATAGTTTCAGAAATGACTAAATATGAAGAGAATAGCAACACCAAGCACACTTTATCAAATACCTGGTAAAGCACATTTTGAAAGGCAACCAGGATGTTAATTTCATGTCACATAACCATTTCTTGCACTTGAATATTTTTCAAAGTATATTCACATCCAAAACTTCATCAGATCCCCTCAGCCTTCTTTTTTCATAATGACCCACATTTTAAAGTCGCTTCTAAGCATAAAAACAAACCAAAACATATTTTATGAATAATTATCTGTTTCTTCTAAATAAAAACTCTAAAATGTTTATTCTTCCTCAAGTCTAGTTTA